>NC_000002.12:31492377-31645128 GCF_000001405.40 Homo sapiens
TGGAGGAATCACCACACTGTCACATGTATGTTTATTCTGGCACTATTCACAATAGCAAAGACTTGGAACCAACCCAAATGTCCATCAATGATAGACTGGATTAAAAAAATGTGGCACATATACACCATGAAATACTATGCGGCCATAAAAAAGGATGAGTTCATGTCCTTTGTGGGGACATGGGTGAAGCTGGAAACCATCATTCTGAGCAAACTATCACAAGGACAGAAAACCAAACACCACATGTTCCCCCTCATAGTAGGAATTGAACAAAGAGAGCACTTGGACACAGGATGGGGGACATCACATACTGGGGCCTGTCATGGTGTGGAGGGAGCAGGGAGGAATAGCATTAGAAGATATACCTAATGTAAATGATGAGTTAATGTGTGCAGCACACCAACATGACACATGTATACATACATAACAAACCTGCACATTGTGTACATGTACTCTAGAACTTAAAGTATAATAATAATAATAAATCAATGAATCCAGGAGCTGTTTTTTCTAAAAGATCAACAAAATAGATAGATCACTAACAAGACTAATAAAGAAGAGAAGAGAGAAGAATCAAATAGATGCAATAAAAAATGATAAAGGGGATATCACCACCAATCCCACAGAAATAAAACTACTATCAGAGAATACTATAAACAACTCTATGCAAATAAACTAGAAAATCTAGAAGAAATCAATAAATTCCTGGACGCATACTCCCTCCCAAGACTAAACCAGGAAGAAGTTGAATCTCCTAATAGACCAATAACAGGTTCTGAAATTGAGGCAATAATTAAGAGCCTACCAACCAAAAAAAGTCTAGGACCAGACGGATTCACAGCCAAATTCTACCAGAGGTACAAAGAGGAGCTGGTACCATTCCTTCAGAAACTATTCCAACCAATAGAAAAACAGGGAATCCTCCCTGACTCATTTTATGAGGCTGGCATCATCCTGATACCAAAGCCTGGCAGAGACACACACACAAAAAAGAGAATTTTAGGCCAATATCCCTGATGAATATCGATGCAAAAATCCTCAATATAATACTGGCAAACCGAATCCAGAAGCATATCAAACAGCTTATCCACCACAATCAAGTCAGCTTCATCCCTGGGATGCAAGGCTGGTTCAACATATGCAAATCAATAAACATAATCCATCACATAAACAGAACCAATGACAAAAACCACATGATTATCTCAACAGATGCAGAAAAGGCCTTTGACAAAATTCAACAGCGCTTCATGCCAAAAACTCTTAATAAACTAGGTATTGTTGGAACGTATCTCAAACAAGAAAAGGATGCCCTCTCTCACCACTCCTATTCCACATAGTGTTGGAGGTTCAGGCCAGGGCAATCAGACAAGAGAAAGAAATAAAGGGTATTCACTTAGGAAAAGAGGAAATCAAATAGTCTCTGTTTGCAGATGACATGATTGTATATTTAGAAAACCCCATCATCTCAGCCCAAAATCTCCTTAAGCTAATAAGCAACTTCAGCAAAGTCTCAAGATACAAAATCAACTTGCAAAAATCACAAGCATTCCTATACACCAATAACAGACAAACAGAGAGCCAAATCATGAGTGAACTCCCATTCACAATTGCTTCCAAGAGAATAAAATACCTAGGAATCCAACTTACAAGGGATGTGAAGGACCTCTTCAAGGAGAACTACAAACCACTGCTCAACGAAATAATAGAGGACACAAACAAATGAAAGAACATTCCATGTTCATGGGTAGGAAGAATCAATATCATGAAAATGGCCATACTGCCCAAGGTAAGTTATAGATTCAATGCTCTCTGTATCAAGCTGCCACTGACTTCCTTCACAGATTTGGAAAAAACTACTTTAAAGTTCATATGGAACCAAAAAACAGCCTGTGTAGCCAAGACAACCCTAAGCAAAAAGAACAAAGCTGGAGGCATCACGCTATGTGACTTCAAACTGTACTACAAGACTACAATAACCAAAACAGCATGGTACTGGTACCAAAACAGAGATATAGACCAACGGAACAGAACAGAGACCTCAGAAATAATACCACACATCTACAACCATCTGATCTTTGACAAACCTGACAAAAACAAGAAATGGGGAAAGGATTCCCCTATTTAACAAATGGTGCTGGGAAACTGGCTAGCAATGTGGAAAGGATTCCCTATTTAATAAATGGTGCTGGGAAACTGGCTAGCAATATGAGAAAGCTGAAACTGCATCCCTTCCTTACACCATATACAAAAGTTAACTCAAGATTGGTTAAAGACTTAAATGTAAGACCTAAGACCATAAAAACCCTAGAAGAAAACCTAGGCAATATCATTCAGGACATAGGCATGGGCAAAGGCTTCATGACTAAAACACCAAAAGCAATGGCAACAAAAGCTAAAATAGACAAAGGGGATCTAATTAAACTAAAGAGCTTCTACACAGCAAAAGAAACTATCATCAGAGTGAACAGGCAACGTACAGAATGGGAGAAAATTGTTGCAATCTACCCATCTGACAAAGGGCTAATATCCAGAATCTACAAAGAACTTAAACAAATTTACAAGAAAAAATCAAACAACCCCATCAAAAAGTGGGCAAAGGATATGAACAGACACTTCTCAAAAGAAGACATTTATGCAGCCAACAGACACATGAAAAAATGCTCACCATCACTGGCCACCAGAGAAATGTAAATCAAAACCACAATGAGATACCATCTCACACCAGTTAGAATGGCGATCATTAAAAAGTCAGGAAACGACAGGTGCTGGAGAGGATGTGGAGTAATAAGAATGCTTTTACACTGTTGGTGGGAGTGGAAATTAGTTCAACCATTGTGGAAGACAGTGTGGCAATTCCTCAAGGATCTAGAAATAGAAATACCATTTGACCCAGCAATCCCATTACTGGGTATATACCCAAAGGATTATAAATCATGCTACTATAAAGACACATGCACACGTATGTTTATTGTGGCACTATCCACAATAGCAAAGTCTTGGAACCAATCCAAATGTCCATCAATGATAGACTGGATTAAGACAATGTGGCACATATACACCATGGAATACTATGCAGCCATAAAAAAGGATGAGTTCATGTCCTTTGCAGACACATGGATGAAGCTGGAAACCATCATTCTCAGCAAACTAACACAAGAACAGAAACCCAAACACCGCATGTTCTCACTCATAGGTTGGAGTTAAACAATAAGAACACATGGACACAGGACAGGGAACATCACACCCTGGGGCCTGTCGGGGTGGGGAGCAGGGGGAGGGATAGCATTAGGAGAAATAGCTAATGTAAATGACGAGTTGATGGGTGTAGCAAACCAACATGGCACATGTATACCTATGTAACAAACCTGCAAGTTGTGCACAAGTACCCTGGAACTTAAAGTATAAATAATAAAAAAAATATATATATACGTATTTTTTTACTTCCCCCATGGTCAGTCTTGCTTGAGGTTTGTCTAGTTTGTCTCTTCAAATAACTGATTTTTAGTATTGTTAAGTCTAAGTTTTGTTTATTTTCATAATTCATTACTTAATTATTTCCTCTTTTCTGTGTTTACACAGGGTTTCTACATAAATATCAGTAGCAACTTTATTTGTAGCAGACAAAATGTGGAAACAATTCAAACACCCATCAACAAGTGAATGAACAACAGATTGTGGTATCCTAATTTGTCATTGAAATACTACTCATGTAAAAAAACTCTATTAATACACAAAACAGCATAGCCATAACTCAAAAACATTATGCTATTTCCTAAGTGAAAAATAAAGTTTATATTGCATAATCCTATTCATATGAAATTTCAGAAAAGACAAACTAATCAAGAGTGACAAAAACATCAATGATTGATTGAAGTTGAGATGAGTATGGGGTCATTACTGACTGGTAAGGGGTAAGAGAGTGATGAAAATATTCTATATCTGATTTATTAGTCTGTTTTCACATTGCTGATAAAGACATACCTGGAGGAGCCAAGATGGCTGAATAGGAACAGCTCCGGTCTACAGCTCCCAGCATGAGCGACGCAAAAGACAGGTGATTTCTGCATTTCCATCTGAGGTACCGGGTTCATCTCACTAGGGAGTGCCAGACAGTGGGCGCAAGACAGTGGGTGGAGCGCACCGTGTGCGAGCCGAAGCAGGGCGAGGCAAGGGGTGACAGACAGCACCTGGAAAGTCGCGTCACTCCCACCCGCATACTGTGCTTTTCCGACGGGCTTAGGAAATGGCGCACCAGGAGATTATACCCGGCACCTGGCTCGGAGGGTCCTACGCCCACGGAGTCTCGCTGATTGCTAGCACAGCAGTCTGAGATCAAACTGCAAGGCGCAGCGAGGCTGGGGGAGGGGCACCCGCCATTGCCCAGGCTTGCTTAGGTAATCAAAGCAGCTGGGAAGCTGGAACTGGGTGGAGCCCACCACAGCTCAAGGAGGCCTGCCTGCCTCCATAGGCTCCACCTCTAGGGGCAGGGCACAGACAAACAAAAAGACAGCAGTAACCTCTGCAGACTTAAATGTCCCTGTCTGACAGCTTTGAAGAGAGCAGTGGTTCTCCCAGCATGCAGCTGGAGATCTGAGAAGGGGCAGACTGCCTCCTCAAGTGGGTCCCTGACCCCTGACCCCCGAGCAGCCTAACTGGGAGGCACCCCCCGGTAGGGGCAGACTGACACCTCACACGGCCAGGTCCTCCTCTGAGACAAAACTTCCAGAGGAACGATCAGACAGCAGCATTCGCAGTTCACGAAAATCCACTGTTCTGCAGACACGCTGCTGATACCCAGGCAAACAGGGCCTGGAGTGGACCTCTAGCAAACTCCAACAGACCTGCAGCTGAGGGTCCTGTCTGTTAGAAGGAAAACTAACAAACAGAAAGGACATCCACACCAAAAACCCATCTGTACATCACCATCATCAAAGACCAAAAGTAGATAAAACCACAAAAATGAGGAAAAAACAGAGCAGAAAAACTGGAAACTCTAAAAAGCAGAGCACCTCTCCTCCTCCAAAGGAACGCAGTTCCTCACCAGCAATGGAACAAAGCTGGACGGAGAATGACTTTGACGAGTTGAGAGAAGAAGGTTTCAGACGATCAAACTACTCCAAGCTACAGGAGGAAATTGAAACCAAAGGCCAAGAAGTTGAAAACTTGGAAAAAAATTTAGACAAATGTATAACTAGAATAACCAATATAGAGAAGTGCTTAAAGGAGCTGATGGAGCTGAAAGCCAAGGCTCGAGAACTACATGAAGAATGCAGAAGCCTCAGGAGCCGATGCGATCAACTGGAAGAAAGGGTATCAGTAATGGAAGATGAAATGAATGAAATGAAGCAAGAAGGGAAGTTTAGAGAAAAAAGAATAAAAAGAAATGAACAAAGCCTCCAAGAAATATGGGACTATGTGAAAAGACCAAATCTACCTCCGATTGATGTACCTGAAAGTGACAGGGAGAATGGAACCAAGTTGGAAAACACTCTGCAGGATGTTATCCAGGAGAACTTCCCCAACCTAGCAAGGCAGGCCAACATTCAGATTCAGGAAATACAGAGAATGCCACAAAGATACTCCTCGAGAAGAGCAACTCCAAGACACATAATTGTCAGATTCACCAAAGTTGAAATGAAGGAAAAAATGTTGAGGGCAGCCAGAGAGAAAGGTCGGCTTACCCACAAAGGGAAGCCCATCAGAATAACAGCAGATCTCTTGGCAGAAACTCTACAAGCCAGAAGAGAGTGGGGACCAATATTCAACATTCTTAAAGAAAAGAATTTTCAACCCAGAATTTCATATCCAGCCAAACTAAGCTTCATAAGTGAAGGAGAAATAAAATACTTTACAGACAAGCAAATGCTGAGAGATTTTGTCACCACCAGGCCTGCCCTAAAAGAGCTCCTGAAGGAAGCACTAAACATGGAAAGGAACAACCGGTACCAGCCGCTGCAAAATCATGCCAAAATGTAAAGACCATCGAGACTAAGAAGAAACTGCATCAACTAACGAGCAAAATAACCAGCTAACATCATCATGACAGGATCAAATTCAAACATAACAATATTAACTTTAAATGTAAATGTGCTAAATGCCCCAATTAAAAGACACAGACTGGCAAATTGGATAAGGACTCAAGACCCATCAGTGTGCTATATTCAGGAAACCAATCTCACATGCAGAGACACACACAGGCTCAAAATGAAAGGATGGAGGAAGATCTACCAAGCAAATGGAAAACAAAAAAAGGCAGGGGTTGCAATCCTAGTCTCTGACAAAACAGACTTTAAACCAACAAAGATCAAAAGAGACAAAGAAGGCCATTACATAATGGTAAAGGGATCAATTCAGCAAGAAGAGCTAACTATCCTAAATATATATGCACCCAATACAGGAGCACCCAGATTCATAAAGCAAGTCCTGAGTGACCTACAAAGAGACTTAGACTCCCACACAATAATAATGGCAGACTTTAACACCCCACTGTCAACATTAGACAGATTGACGAGACAGAAAGTTAACAAGGATACCCAGGAATTGAACTCAGCTCTGCACTAAGCGGACCTAATAGACATCTACAGAACTCTCCCCCCAAATCAACAGAATATACATTTTTTTCAGCACCACACCTATTCCAAAATTGACCACATAGTTGGAAGTAAAGCTCTCCTCAGCAAATGTAAAAGAACAGAAATTATAACAAACTATCTCTCAGACCACAGTGCAATCAAACTAGAACTCAGGATTAAGAAACTCACTCAAAACCACTCAACTACATGGAAACTGAACAACCTGCTCCTGAATGACTACTGGGTACATAACGAAATGAAGGCAGAAATAAAGATGTTCTTTGAAACCAACGAGAACAAAGACACAACATACCAGCATCTCTGGGACACATGCAAAGCAGTGTGTAGAGGGAAATTTATAGCACTAAATGCCCACAAGAGAAAGCAGGAAAGATCCAAAATTGACACCCTAACATCACAATTAAAAGAACTAGAAAAGCAAGAGCAAACACATTCAAAAGCTAGCAGAAGGCAAGAAATAACTAAAATCAGAGCAGAACTGAAGGAGATAGAGACACAAAAAACTCTTCAAAAAATCAATGAATCCAGGAGCTGTTTTTTGAAAGGATCAACAAAACTGATAGACCGCTAGCAAGACTAATAAAGAAGAAAAGAGAGAAGAATCAAATAAACGCAATAAAAAATGATAAAGGGGATATCACCACCGATCCCACAGAAATACAAACTACCATCAGAGAATACTACAAACACCTCTCCGCAAATAAACTAGAAAATCTAGAAGAAATGGATAAATTCCTCGACACATACACTCTCCCAAGACTAAACCAGAAAGAAGTTGAATCTCTGAATAGACCAATAACAGGAGCTGAAATTGTGCCAATAATCAACAGCTTACCAACCAAAAAGAGTTCAGGACTAGATGGATTCACAGCCGAATTCTACCAGAGGTACAAGGAGGAACTGGTACCATTCCTTCTGAAACTATTCCAATGAATAGAAAAAGAGGGAATCCTCCCTAACTCATTTTATGAGGCCAGCATCATCCTGATACCAAAGCCGGGCAGAGACACAACAAAAAAAGAGAATTTTAGACCAATATCCTTGATGAACATTGATGCAAAAATCCTCAATAAAATACTAGCAAACCAAATCCAGCAGCACATCAAAAAGCTTATCCACCACGATCAAGTGGGCTTCATCCCTGGGATGCAAGGCTGATTCAATATATGCATATCAATAAATGTAATCCAGCATATAAACAGAACCAAAGACAAAAACCACATGATTATCTCAATAGATGCAGAAAAGGCCTTTGACAAAATTCAACAACCCTTCATGCTAAAAACTCTCAATAAATTAGGTATTGATGGGACGTATCTCAAAATAATAAGAGCTATCTATGACAAACCCACAGCCAATATCATACTGAATGGGCAAAAACTGGAAGCATTCCCTTTGAAAACTGGCACAAGACAGGGATGCCCTCTCTCACCACTCCTATTCAACATAGTGTTGGAAGTTCTGGCCAGGGCAATCAGGCAGGAGAAGGAAATAAAGGGTATTCAATTAGGAAAAGAGGAAGTCAAATTGTCCCTGTTTGCAGATGACATGATTGTATATCTAGAAAACCCCATTGTCTCAGCCCAAAATCCCCTTAAGCTGATAAGCAACTTCAGCAAAGTCTCAGGATACAAAATCAATGTACAAAAATCACAAGCATTCTTATACACCAATAACAGACAAACAGAGAGCCAAATCATGAGTGAACTCCCATTCACAATTGCTTCAAAGAGAATAAAATACCTAGGAATCCAACTTACAAGGGACGTGAAGGACCTCTTCAAGGAGAACTACAAACCACTGCTCAATGAAATAAAAGAGGATACAAACAAATGGAAGAACATTCCATGCTCATGGGTAGGAAGAATCAATATCGTGAAAATGGCCATACTGCCCAAGGTAATGTATAGATTCAATGCCATCCCCATCAAGCTACCAATGCCTTTCTTCACAGAATTGGAAAAAACTACTTTAAAGTTCATATGGAACCAAAAAAGAGCCCGCATCATCAAGTCAATCCTAAGCCCAAAGAACAAAGCTGGAGGCATCACGCTACCTGACTTCAAACTATACTGCAAGGCTACAGTAACCAAAACAGCATGGTACTGGTACCAAAACAGAAATATAGATCAATGCAACAGAACAGAGCCCTCAGAAATAATGCCACATATCTACAACTATCTGATCTTTGACAAACCTGACAAAAACAAGCAATGGGGAAAGGATCCCCTATTTAATAAATGGTGCTGGGAAAACTGGCTAGCCATATGTAGAAAGCTGAAACTGGATCCCTTCCTTACACCTTACACAAAAATTAATTCAAGATGGATTAAAGACTTAAACATTAGGCCTAAAACCATAAAAACCCTAGAAGAAAGCCTAGGCATTACCATTCAGGACATAGGCATGGGCAAGGACTTCATGTCTAAAACACCAAAAGCAATGGCAACAAAAGCCAAAATTGACAAATGGGATCTAATTAAACTAAAGAGCTTCTGCACAGCAAAAGAAACTACCATCAGAGTGGACAGGCAACCTACAGAATGGGAGAAAATTTTCACAACCTACTCATCTGACAAAGGGCTAATATCCAGAATCTACAATGAACTCAAACAAATTTACAAGAAAAAATCAAACAACCCCATCAAAAAGTGGGCAAAGCATATGAACAGATGCTTCTCAAAAGAAGACATTTATGCAGCCAAAAGACACGTGAAAAAATGCTCATCATCACTGGCCATCAGAGAAATGCAAATCAAAACCACAATGAGATACCATCTCACGCCAGTTAGAATGGCAATCATTAAAAAGTCAGGAAACAACAGGTGCTGGAGAGGATGTGGAGAAATAAGAACACTTTTACACTGTTGGTGGGGCTGTGAACTAGTTCAACCATTGTGGAAGTCAGTGCGGCGATTCCTCAGGGATCTAGAACTAGAAATACCATTTGACCCAGCCATCCCATTACTGGGTATATAACCAAAGGACTATAAATCGTGCTGCTATAAAGACACATGCACACGTATGTTTATTGTGGCACTATTCACAATAGCAAAGACTTGGAACCAACCCAAATGTCCAACAATGATAGATTGGATTAAGAAAATGTGGCACATATACACCATGGAATACTATGCAGCCATAAAAAAGGATGGGTTCATGTCCTTTGTAGGGACATGGATGAAATTGGAAATCATCATTCTCAGTAAACTATCGCAAGAACAAAAAACCAAACACCACATGTTCTCACTCATAGATGGGAATTGAACAATGAGAACACATGGACACAGGAAGGGGAACATCACACTCTGGGGCCTGTTGTGGGGTGGGGGGAGCGGGGAGGGGGAGCATTACGAAATATACCTAATGCTAAATGACGAGTTAATGGGTGCAGCACACCAGCATGGCACATGTATACATATGTAACTAACCTGCCTGTTGTGCACATGTACCCTAAAACTTAAAGTATAATAATAATAATTTAAAAAAAAAAAGAATTTTTTAATCAAAAGTTAAAAAAAAAAAGACATACCTGAGACTGGGTAATTTACAAGGAAAAAGAGGCTTAATGGATTCACAGTTCCACGTGGCTGGGGAGGCCTAACAATCATGACACAAGGTGAAAGGCATGTCTTACATGGTTGCAGACAAGAGAGAATAACAGAGCTTGTGCAGGGAAACTCCCCTTTATAAAACCATCAGACCTCGTGAGACTTATTCACTATCATGAGAACAGCACAGGAAAGACCTGCCCCCATGATTCAATTACCTCCCACCCACCAAGTCCCTCCCATGACACGGGGGAATTGTGGGAGCTTCCATTCAAGGTGAGATTTGGGTGGGGACACAGCCAAACCATATCATCTGGGTTGTTGTGGTGGTTCCATAGGTACATACATTTTCAAAACTCATCAAACTGTACACTTAAAACTAGTGTATTTTATTATGTGTAAATTATACCTTCATAAGCTTATTTTTAAAAACTACAATGAGATACCTTTTCTCACCCACTGGAATGGTTAATATTAAAAAGACTGACAATACAAATGTCGAGAATGTGGAGCAACATTCTCATACACTGCTGATGAGAGTGTAAAATGGTGCATTCACATTGGAAAACTCATTGGTGATTTCTAGTAAAGATAAACGCATGCCTTCCTTCTTATCTAGAAGTATATATCTAAGAGAAATGCATATATATTTACAAAAAGACTTTTCCAAAAATGTTCATAGCTGCTTTTTCTCACAGTAGTCAAAAATGGAAAACAACTCAAATGTTCAACAAATAAAAGAAGATAAATAAATTGTGGTGTTCCAGACCATGAAATAATATGCATCATTAAAACAATAATGAATTACTTATACACACAAGCCCATGGATGACTCTGTATATAATTCTATACCTGTGTGAATCTGCTTTGGCAGTGTATAACTGGTCACATGTTTAGCAGCTTTGAATACAAGCCCTCCTTTTCTACCATCCTTCTTGGGTTTTGGTATTCATTGTCTTGTGAGTCCATTTTTTTGTATGGCTTATAAGGTCATCCTGGAGTTTCGTCTTGTTTGGAAACCCCATTTCCTATCCCCCAACCAGCTGGAAAGGTTTGGATACCATGATAATAAAGCACATACAAATGGACTTAGGTGACCTCTGAGTCAGATATCAACAAGAAAATCCCTTCATTGCTTAGACTTTGAGGTACTCTTCCTTGATTTTATCTCTCTTCACCTTTCCTCACCTGGGAGGCAGAAGATAGGGAGTCGCCCAAGGCAAGGGGATCAAAAAATCTCCTCTACCTGCTTTTGATGTCAGAATTAGCCCTGTCTGAAGCTGAGCGATCAGCCCAGCTCACCAAGTATTTGAGAGAAAAACTGGAATAGTACATACAATGTGTTTGCCTGGAGTTTTTCTCTGCATAGTTACCTGTGATGGTCAAAGTGACTAACCTTCAGGGATCCTGGGAGCTGGCAAAAGATCATCACAGTCGAACAAATAGCTGACCTATAAATTGATTCTCATTCCCTAGTCTCGTGTTCATTATTACAATACAAACACCATGAAGACAAAAAAGCCGTGCCCCAAGCCCCTTAGAGTTGTCCAGCTCTCTTCCCAAGCACTTTTTTTCCTTGTCTATGCCAGAAGGCACTGGATTCGGCAGTCTCTTGCCCATTCAAAAAGTCCTAAACTGACACTTCTGAAGAGGATCAACTAGCAAACCAGCATTAGACTGTACTCTTTATTTCAGGCTACATCAGAATGAGGCATCCATTGATAAATGGTTATGATCAAAAGAAAGACTTGGAGAATCAGTTGTCCAACTGATTATAATTTTCTTTGCACAAAATATGGATTCAATTTCTGGTATTGAAGACCAACTCAGTAGAAAGAAGCCTTAGAGGGTTATGTCAGATTTCCCTTTATTAGATCCTTTGCTCTCCTTTTGTCTCCACATAAGCTTCAGATATATGCTGGAGAAAACCTTCAGTAAGCCATGAAGTGCCCTTTGAACATCCGTCCCTCCTGGTTGCAGTATTCTGAGCAGATAAGACAGGCAATTAACTTGGTACACAGATAAAGTTGGGGCAGGAAGCCCGGCATGATTTTAGGCTCTTGGTGAAGGAGAAGGTAAAACAACTCACCTTATAGAAGAGAGAAAACATGTTACAAGAACACACATAACCCCACTCACTACCCCATTGGGTATAGTCTTGTTCAGTCCTACATTTCTAGAAGGGAACAGCTCTGCTGTTTATACCTGTGGGAGGCATACTGGGGCCTAGTCTACCACAGGTATTAGATCTACATGTGGTTAGCAGGAAAGTGTCCATAAATTTGCAGATCCTTCAGGAATTCACCCTATGTTTATACCTAGAATTTAGAGTTGAGTTCAAGGCTGATGAGCATAAGTTTAGCCCAAATTCAACTGAACCTGAGATTATGGATCCCGCCCTAATTTAAGGGTAAGAAAAACAGAACAGCAAAGATCAAGAGAACAAGAGTGAGTTCAAGGAATTCTGGAGCAACCTATCAAATTAACAGTATTTACTTAGCCCTGTGTGGCTCCACACAATGCTTTGTGTTAAAGGATTCTTAAGTGTGAGACATGGGCCCTGGACCACAGAGGGGACAAGACATGCACCCATGAGAAGATCAAGAAATCATGCTAGGTAGCGCATAATTCAGGACCAAGTTGTGTGTGATTGTTGGTGAACACATTAACAACAAATCAGCAAATGGAGAGAGTCTGTGGCCTTCCTCCAGAGATCAGGGAAGCTTTAAAGGAGGGACTGAGGCTTAAGCAGCATTCTTAAAAAGGATTTGGATTAGCTGAGAAGAAATGGAGAGAGGGAGACATTCTTGCTTTGGCTGGAAAAGGAACAAAAGCTTGGGAGGGAGGAGTGAGTGCAAAACATTCACGTGACAAGAAGGAAGTAGAGAAAGAGTGAGGCAAGGTTCATAAGATAAGAGCCAAACCATGGAGGGTCTTGTAAGCTGATGAGTTTGTTTGATTTAATGTGTTAAGAAATGCAACACTGTATTAATAAGTCTATCCATTTAGTTGCTGACAGTGCAGGGTCAAGTGAGGCACCTGAGGTAAACAAAGTACTTGCCTGCAGTGCAAAATTTAAGGGGGCACCATAAAACTCAGTAATCAAGATAAACAATATTTTAATGCAGCATTTAAAAGATAAGATTCATGTAGAAAATCCATAATTAATAAAATATCAAGATTTTAAAGAAAGACAGCATCAGTAACAGTGGCATGCTAAGCCATATTAAAGCCTGAGAAAAAAGGAAAACTAAGTAATACTAACTTTGTCCTCTTTTTGGAAACTCAAAACACATATTAGTATATTAGGGGCTTTGAAAAGTACTGCAAAAAGTTCTATTCAACTCTTTAGTACTACATATCCCAAATGCATTTAACCACACATTTTTGCAGGCAAAATCTTTAGAATATTTTTCAGGACAAGCTAATATATTTTACTATTTTTTGACTGATAAAGAAACCAAGGCATTGAGAGTCAGCAAGATCTTTCTAGTTAACTAGGAATAAATAAATGAAAAATGTTGTGAGAGTATCAGTTCTTTTCTTGTATAAATAAGTGTGGTATAATGAATAGCTTTTAACCTTTAATTATTTTTTACAAACCTTAGGTAACTATAATTACAAATTAATTGAGAACTGTCTATAAATATGATTGCATAAATTGTAAGGAATTGTGTTAAATCTGTGCTGACTTCAAGGTAAAAAACAATACCCTTCACTGTATGGGAAATGAGCATCTAAAAAACTGACCTTGCTGCCAACAGGAGTTATAAGATCTGGACAAAATACAAAAACATCTACACGAGACTCTGGAGACTGAACAAAAGCAAGCAGTTTTTGGAGGAGAGCTAAAGCTACAGCAAGGAACACCATGGAACACAATGAGTTTTCACTTCATGTGGCTTTCCTCTGAAGGTAATAACTAGAAGACGAATCAATAAGAAGAATCTGAACAACAGGAAAAAAGTGAACAGAGCCTCACTGATCTATGGAACAACTTCAAAAGATCTAGCATATGTGGAAATGTAGTCAATAAAGGAAAGGAGAAAAATAATAGGACAGTAAACATATTTCAAGAAATCATAGCCAAAAATTTCCGAAATCTGGTTAATGACTTAAATTTACAGATTAAACCAATTCCATGAATCTCAAACAGGATAAATTTGAAAGAATCATACTTAGGCACATCGTGGTCAAACAGCTGAAAACCAAAGATAGAGAGAAAATTATGACATCACCCCAAGAAAATGACCCACTATATTCAACACTATTTGAATAATCATGGCTTCTCATCAGAAACAAAGGAAGCATACAGTAAAATAATATCTTTAAAGCATTAGTAGAAAAAACAAACCTATTAACTAAGAATTTCATGTTCTGCAAAAATGTCTTTTAAGAATGAAGCTGATATAAAGATATTTTCAAATAATGAAAAACTAAGGGTATTCATTGCCACCAGACTTGTACCACAAGAAATGTTATACTGAGTTTTGTAGGCTGAAGGGAAATGATACCACAGGAAAATTCAGAAAAGAATAAACATAACGATATTTATAAAAGACTATTTCTTCTCTCAATTTATTTATAATACAGACGACTGTTTAGAGACAAACTTTTAGCATTGCCTTATAGAATTTACAATGTATATATATCTAATACATATAGTAACCATAATATAGAGAATGGTAGAGGCATAAATGAATAGACCTAAATAATTGCAAGGATTATATATTTTAAATAAAGTGGTATAAGACTAACTTTAAATTACTAACTCTAAGTTAACTTACCCTATGAAAGGCTAACCATAGTACATCAACTAGAAAGATTACACCAAGAAATATTGCTAAAAATCTAATACAGAACATTAAAATTGAATGGTAAAATACATATATAATGCAAAAGAAGGCAGAAAGAGAATAGCAAAAGAAAAATGGGCAAAGAGAACAACCAAATAAATAATAAATTGGTAGGACTAAATCCAATCATGTCAGTAATTTCATTAAATGCTAATGTACTAAGCATGCCAAAGATTATCAGAATGGATTATTTTAAAGGCAAGATTAAATTTATGTTGTCTACAAGAAACATGTTTTAAATATGAAGACATAGACTAAATATAAAGATGGACAGTAAATAGAAGAAAAAAGAAATACCATGTAAATAGCTTAAGAAGATTAAAATTGATATATTAAAATCAGATAAAACAGACTATCAGATAAAGAGTAAAAATTACAGTATTATCAAAGATAAAGAGAGCCCTTCATAATGATAACATTATCTATTGGGGCCTTTTTAGCTCAAGTAATTGGTAAGATTTAATAATCAAAAATGTGTATACACATAATAATAGAGCTTCAAAATACAAGAAGTGAAAATTGATACAACTAAGGCAAAATAAACAATAAAAAAATTATAGTAGGAAAATTTAACACCCTTCTCTCAGGAATTGATAGAACAACTAGACAAAAAAAATCAACAAAATGTGATATCTCATTGTACTTTTGATTTGCAATTTTCTGGTGATTAGTGGTGTTCAGTATCTTTTCAGATATTTTTTGGCCACTTTTATGTCTTCTTTGGAAAAATGTTTAAGTCCTTTGTCCATTATTTAATGGGGTTATTTGTTCTTTTGCTATTGAGTTATATGAGTTCCTTATATATTTTGGATATTAACTCCTTATTAGATAAATAGCTTGTAATTATTTTCTTCCATTATGTCAGTTGTCTTTTCATTTTGCCAAGTCCAAAAAATCATTGCCGAGATGGAAACAGAAAAACAACAGAGAAAAATCAATGAAACAAAAAGCTGGTCTTAGAAGAGATCAATAAAATTGATGACCCTGTAGCAAGATTGACCAAGGGAGAAAAAAAGAAAACACAGACATCAAAAGAAAAATAGGAGGATATAACAGACAATTCTATGTCCAAAAATTTGATAATTTACATAATTATTTCAATGTCTTGAAAGATATAAACTACCAGAACTCACTGAAGAAGAAATAAATAACTCAGATAATACTATATTTATTTTAAATTGGATTTGCAATTAAAAACCTTCCAAAAAAGAAAACTACAGGCCTAGATTGTTTCACTGGTGAATTCTACAAAACATTTAAGGAAGAAATAATATTAATTGTATACCATCTCTTTAAGAAAACAGGAGAGAGACAACTTCTTAACTAATTTTATGTGGCCAGCATTACCTTAATACTCAAACTAGACAAAGACATTACTAGAAAACAAAACTATAGACCAATATCCCTCATGAACATAAATGCAAAAATTCTCAAAAAAAATTAAGAAATCAAATCCAGCAATAACTACATATAATAATATATCATAACCAATAGGGGTTTATACAAGGTTTGGTTCAATATTCCAAAATCAATCAATGTAAGTCACAATATTAACAGACTAAAGAAGAAAAACCATATGATTATGTCAATAGATACACAAAAATATTTGGTAAAATTCAACATCTGTTTATCATAAAAAAAAAAAACTTTCAGGAATCTAAAAAAATAAGGAGACTTCCATACTGATAGATGGCATATCACACACACACACACACACATACACACAACATACAACAAACAACAACTATAGCTATTAACGTTGAAAAGCTAAGTGCTTTTCTCCTAACCTTAGAAACAAGGTAATGATGCCCCCTATCACCACTCCTATTCAATATTTTACAAAAACTCCAGCCAATGTAACAAGATTTTTTTTAAAAGATGATTGAAAATAAATAAAACTCCCTCTGAAACATTATTTTTCCTCTAAAACATTCCAAAAATCAATTTTCAAAAGGTTCATAGAACTAATAAGTGAGTTTGTCAGGGTTGCAGGATACACAATCAAGGTACAAAGATCAATTGCATTTCTATAGGCTAGCACAGAATTCCAAAAATATAGAGTTCAAAATTTACAAAACAGTCCCAATTACAATAACATACAAAAAATGAACTAGTTAGGTGTCAATCCTACAAAATATGTATAGAATTTGTATGCAGAAAACTACAACACATTGATAAAAGAAAACAAGATCTAAATAAATGGAGAGACATATGATGTTCATGGAATGGAAGATTTAATCTTGATAAGATGCCAATTCTCCCCAGATTGAGCAATAGTTACAATGCAATACAAATCAAAATCTCAAAGATCTATTTCATAGATAATAAGGAGCTAAATCTAAAACTTACATGGAAAGACAAAGGAATTAATACAGCCAGAACAGTTTTGAAAAAGAAAAAGTTGGACCACCCACACTACTTAATATCAAAACTCGTAAGTTTAAAGTTATCAATATATTGTGGTATTCGTAAAAAATATACACATACAGATCAGTCATATAAAATAAAAAATGCAGAAATAGATTCTACAAATATAGTCAACAGATTTTTGGCAAATGTGCAAAAGCAAACCAATACAGAAGAGTTCCTCTTTTCAACAAATGATGTTGAAGCAATTGGGTAGTCATCAGGAAAAATACAAGAACAGAAAGTTAACCTCAATCTGTATCTTACATGTTACACAAACATTAACTCAAAATGCGCCATAGAATAAAATTAAAAAGTGTATCTATAAAGCATCTAAAAGAAAACAAATAAGAAAATCTTTATAACCTTGAGTTAAGCAAAGAGTTATTTAGCTATAACACCAGACGTATGATCCATAAAAGAAATAAATTAATAAATTAGACTCCATTTAAATTAAAATTTTTTACCTGTTAAAAACACTCTTACACGAATGAAAAGACAAGGCACAGGCTGGTAGAAAATATTTTCAATAGATACATTTGACTGAACACTTGTATTCAAAATATGTAAATAGCTCTCAAAACTCAACAGTAGATTCAGCTCAGTGGCTCAGGCCCTTAATCTCAGCAGTTTGGGAGGTTGAGATGGGAGGATCTCTTGAGCCCAGTTTAAGACCAGGCTGGGCAACATAGTGAGACCCTTGTCTCTACAAAAATGGTTAAAATTAGCCAGGTGTGGTGGTGAACACCTGTAGTCCCAGCTACTCAAGAGGCTGAGGTGAGAGGATTTCTTGAGCCCAGGAGATTGAGGTTGCAGTAATCCATGATTGTGCCACTGCACTCCAACCTGAGACCCTGTCAAAACAAACAAACAAAAAATCTCAGCAATAAGAAAACGACACAATTTTTTTAAATGAGGAAAGATCTAGACACTTCACTAATGAGGAAATATGGATGGCAAATAAGCATACGAGAAGATGCCCAACATCATTACACATTAAGGAAATGCAAATTTAAGACAAAAAATTACTACTACATACCTATTAGGGTTGCTAAAGAAAAAGGCAATATCAAGTGCTTGTGAATATGCAGAACAATTGGAACTCTCATACATTGTTGACTGAAATGGAAAATTATGCAGGTACTTTGGAAAAACTGGTTGGCAGTTTCTTAGAAACATATGCATACCTAATCCAGCAATCTCACTTCTATGTGTTTACCCAAGAAATTTATTTATTTATCCATGAAATGTATGTTTGCTAAAAATCTATACACAAATATTCATAGAAGCTTTATTTATAATTGTCAAAAACTAGAAACAACTCAAGTATCCGTCAACATGTGAAAGAATAAATAAAATGTGGTACACTTTGAGATACTTAATGCAGTATTACTTAGAAAAACAGGGAATAAACTACTGATACAATCAATTACATGAATTAATCTTATAATTTTTACAGTGAGTGAAGGAATCCACATATAATAGAGTGCATACTTAAGATTCCATTTAGGTAAAATGCAAACTAATACAAGAGGGAGTTGAAAAGTTTGTGAACAGAATTGAATGAAAAGATAAAATAGAAAATGTGAACTTTATTTCTCAACATAAGTTCCATCAAAGTCATGACACATTTTTTTGTGATGGTATCAGACATTTAGTTCATCCCTAAAGAACTGAAAGTCCTGGGAATTTAAACAATGTCAATACTGTGTTTTGTTTTGTTTTAACACTGTTAGCTGAAGAAAAATGGGTATCCTTTACAGACTTTTTTAAGATTAGGAAACAAAAAGAAGTCAGGAGCCAAATCAGGACTGTAAGCCTAACAATTTCCCATCAAAACTCTTGCAAAATTGTCCTTGTTGGATGAGAAGAATGAGCAAGAGCATTGTCATGATGAAGGACTCTCTGGTGAAGCTTTCCTGGGTGTCCTTCTGCCAAAGCTTTGGCTAACTTTCTCAAAACATTTTCATAATGAGCAGATGTTACCATTATCTGACCCTCCGGAAAGTCAGCAAGCAAAACACCTTGAGCATCCCCCAAAAAACCATTACCATGACCTTTGCTCTTGACTGGTCCAATTTTGTTTTGACTGGACCATTTCCACCTGTTGGCTGCCATTATGTTGCTTGTCCTTTGTCTTTAGGATCATATTGGTAAAGCCATGTTTTATCTCCTGTTATAATTCTTCAAAGAAATGCTTCAGGATCTTGATCCCATTGTTTAAAATGTCCATTGAAAGCTCTGCTCTTGGCCCCAGCTTATGTGGGCATCTTTCAGTCAGAATATGTAAGCTGAACCAATTGAGATGTCTATGGTGTTAGCTATTGTTCATGCTGTTAATCATCGGTCCTCTTCTATTAGAGTGGAACAAGATTCTTTTTTCCCTGACAAATTGATGTGATGGTCTGCTACTGCAGGCTTCATCTTCAATATCATCTTGTCCCTTCTTAAAATGAGTTACCCATTTGTAACTGTGGATTTCTTTGGGGCATTGCCTCCTTAAACATTTTGTGAAGCATCAATGATTTCACCCTTCTTCCACCCAAGCTTCAGCATCAAGTGGATGTTCGTTCTTGCTTCAATTTTAGGAGAATTCATGTTGCTGTGATAGGGGGTCTTTCAAACCCATGTCTTTCTTATCTTTCTTAGTGCCTCAAACTAGATCCTGTTCAGATATGTTATAACTACCTGGTACAAGTTTATTTTGGCACAAAAAATATTTTAAATCCATTATAGGTTTTCCATAATATGCATTTTCTGTGAATTATTTGAAGACTCCACATATATACTGAAGAAAAGAAAATCAGTGGTTGTCTACAACCATGGGTGAAGGGGAGAATGGACTGTGGTATGAAGAAGTTTTTAAAGTTAAGGAAATATCCTGTATCTTGATTGTAGTGGTTGTGACATGGGTGTATACAAGTGTCAAACTCATTGTATTGTATACTTGAAATAGATGCAGTTTATTGTAAATAAATAACTTCTTATCAAATAGATTAAAGAAATTTCTAATATCATTTTTCTCTCTTATGATGTTTTTCTTTCTCCTAAAAGTAAATGAAACAGAAAATTTTTCCTGCCTAATGAAGTGATTTGCATAATGAAGTCACTGATATATGACCCTTCTAGAGTTTCTGACCAGCCATTATAGTTTCATCTGTTTTCCCCCACCTGCTCCCTTGAATGTGAATAAAGTGTTTGAGCATTGACCCCACTTCTGTAGGCACTGTCCATCCCCCTACCACAAAGAGCCAGCTCTCCCCAGAGATGCTTCCTTGTGTCGCCCAGGTGATTGTTCACCACACTTGACTCCTAGAATAGCTGTGGCCCAGAATTTGGAAGTTAGTGCTCCAGGAGATAGAGTTTTCCTTTGATTTGAACTAAACTTCTTGAGTCCTGCATTTTTTTACTGACTCATATTCAGATGTTACTGGCTCTGCCTTGGAGCTTACTGCAACTGAATTATTAATGCCTCAGAAAATTCTACACAGACCTGGATTGATTCCCATAAACCACATGAACTACAGGCCAGGTTGGCCCAGGCAAACTGGTGAACCAGGAATTATACATTCAATGCCTGGCACTTAGAGTTATAAATCTAGAAGGAGCCTTAGAGAGCCCAAGTCCAAACTCAGGCCTCTGTTCAACCTGAGCTTCCCCAGCAAGTCATCCTCCAGGCTCTCTGGAACACTCCAGTGATGAGGAGTTCACAATCAGATGTGTTGTCTTCTTTGCAGTTAATTAAATATCTCTCCTCTGAAGTTTACTCCTTGTTACCTTCCTGGCCTCCCCAGTCTCTGGGGTGCCCAGAGTTCAAACCTCAATCCCACTTGCTCATGTTCCCATCTGTGCACCTAAGCAGTCCCTACTACCAGAGGGCACCCCAAGTGCCACTCAGCCCCTTCCCTCTGCAGCCTTCTCCCCTGCTTCTGTTTCCTCACCTTGTTCTCTGCCCTGGGACAAGGGATCAACCAAACCATTTAATCCCTGCCAAGACGCATTTAACTTAGAGCAATTTCAGGTCACCTGGTGCTTTAACTTACGTAAAAGTCTCTGTCTCCCAAAAAGAGTGCCAGGGTAGGAACTTTTGACCCCACGGGTGGCTAGAAAGGAAGACATTTGTGTCATAGGACTCTTTTAGACTTCTTTGAATCAAACTGCAAGAAGAGGTAGAAAGTTAGCTTTTACAAGATATAAGCCAACAACACTGTCCTCAGTGTTTAATGTGCATAAGAAGCATCTGGCCCACTCCCTTAATTAAGATCCATGGGCAATCCCCTCTGTATTAGTCTGTTCTCACATTGCTATAAAGAACTACCTGAGACTGGGTAATTTATGAGGAAAAGAGGTTTAATTGACTCACAGTTCCACAGGCTTAACAGGAAGCATGCCTGGGAAGCCTCAGGAAACTTACAATTATAGTGGAAGGTGAAAGGGAAGCAAGCACGTCTTACCATGGTGAAGCAAGAGAGAGTGAAGGGGAACGTGCCACAAGCCTTCAAACAACCAGATCTCATGAGAACTCACTCACTATCATGAGAACAGCAAGGGGGAAATCCACCCCCATGATCCAATCACCTCCCACCAGGCCCCTTTCCTGATGTGTGGGGATTACAATTTGACATGAGATTTGGGTGGGGACATAGAGCCAAACCACATCACCCTCTATGGGAGTTCCTCAAGAAAATGACACTTGTAATGAGACGGTTTGTCACAAGATGTTTCCTAATGTAGTGGAATTCTGTGTAGACCTTAAATATAAAGCTGAAAATGCAACATAATCATAGGACAGGTTGAATTTAGGCACCAGAATGAGAGTTGAAATGTGGAACTGTGCTTGTTTGTGTGTGTGTGTTTGTGTGTGTGTGTGTGTGTTTAAAGGGTTAGTGTATTACTATTTTTTTTTTTTTTTTTTTTGAGATAGAGTCTTGTTCTGTCACCCAGGCTGGAGTGCAGTGGTGCGATCTCGGCTCACTGCAAGCCCCGCCTCCCGGGTTCACACCATTCTCCTGCCTTAGCCTCGCCAGTAGCTGGGACTACAGGGGCCCGCTACCATGCCCGGCTAATTTTTTGTATTTCTTTAGTAGAGACGGGGTTTCACCATGTTAGCCAGGATGGTCTTGATCTCCTGACCTCGTGATCCGCCCTTCTCGGCCTCCCAAAGTGCTGGGATTACAGGCATGAGCCACCGTGCCCAGCCAGGTTAGTGTATTACTTATGACCGAGCAGCCCAGCCTGAAGGCCTGGCCACACTTGACAAGTGGCCAACCTATGCCAAAAAGAAGGAGCCAAATGACCGTCTGTCCAGGACTGCCTGAGGCATCAGGACATGCACCTCATCCAGTGGCCACTGCCAATCTTCCACCACACCTGCCAGGACCTGCCTGGACACTCTGCTCTATGCTTGACTGGATGATACCAGGCCCAGCCCCCTTAGAGATCCATACACTGATGCAAACACCACCACCTTCTTTATCATGAGCAGGAGTCATGTATTAATTACCTAGAATGGCAAGATCTAGCCTTTAAAATCCCATTCAGCTTGCCATCCTTTCTTTTATTCCTCCCAGGTCTCAGGATGATGGGAAGCAGCAGTAAAGTTTGTACATGTTTTAGCCATGTTTAGGAGTCCTTTTCTCTCCAAGTACCCCCACATTTAGAGAAAGGAAAATTTGCTTCTAGCTCTTCCCATAGTATAAATATTTACTAAGCTCTCATTTTATGCCAGGCACCCATGCAAATACTGATGACACAGCAGAGGACAAAACACACAAGTCCTTGCCTTCGGGGGCTTATAGTCTAGTGGGGAAAGACAGAGAATGAACACATAAACTAGGAACTGTCTTGTGTATTAGACGGTGTAAGTGCTTTGAAAACCATTATAGGGATAAGGCAGAAAGTGTACCAAGGGTAGGAGTGGGGCACTATGTTGAACAGGATGGGCAGGAAAGACCTTTCTTACAACGCGGTATTTGAGCAGGCACCTGAAGGAAGTGAGAGGTGAGCCACGTGAGTGTCTGAAAGAAGAGCGTTCTAGGCAGAGGAGTGAGCATGTGCAAAGATCCTAGGGCTGAGGGGGTTTTGAGGATCTTCCAGGAAGTCAGCATGGTAGTGGACAGTGGGCCACATGGAGAGCAACAGGAGATAAAGTCAGAGAGGTAATGGAGCCCAGATTCTGTAGAGCTTTGTAGGCCACTGCAAAGACTTACTCTTTTGCTCTGGGTGAGATGGGAGCCCAAATACTGTTTTGAAGATGATGCGAAAAGGTTTACAAGTACTTATAAAAGTATCACTCTGACTGCTTGCTGTGTTGAGAATACACTATGGGGAAGCAAGTATGGAAGTGGGGAGATCAGTTGAGAAACTTTTATGACAATTCTGAGAGATAGTGGTGGCTCTGAAAAGGTGGGATAAAGTGTGGTGAGAACATGACTAAATGTCAAAGTAGATCAGACAGAATAGGAGCACCTTGGCAATTCTGATGGAGGGGTCCAGAAACAATACTTTGAAAAGCACAACCATAGGGCAACTGTTGGAGGGAAAGTTCCTGGCTCTAGGTGCTCTGCTAGACTGTCTGGTGTTGGGGACTGTCACAGTCCTGAGCCTCCAAGTTTGTGCATCAGTCTCATAGAGCACAGAAACAAAATTACTGACCCAGGAAGCAGGCTCACAGCTCCAGCCCCTCTCTGCCCTGTGGCTGGACCCCTTTGAGTCACAACTGAAACAATGGGTATAAAAGTCCAGCCTTCATCCTAGAAGGTTTAATGTGAGTACCACTTCGAATGATGTGTATGAGTGGTCTTAGATAAGGTATGGACCTCAAATTAGTCCCATTAGCTGGGCAGAGGGTGGATATTTCACCATAAATTCATTAATGTGGACCTTGAAGACCTTCCATCTTTATGCAAATGTTCCTTCAGTGAAATGCAAATATCCCCTGGATACAATCAGACCTTGTGCTGTCAACAACTAACATAGTTTGGATATTCTTTAACAGGTAACCTCTTTCTTCTGGCATCATACCAGAAAGTATGATGCCAGAAGAAAGAGGATAATCATTTGCTCACATTAGATTTCACCCACTTCACAGTTTTCCAGATGAGGACTAACTGTCTGCTTTCTCTTTATGCATTTGCTTAAGAAATCTTCTGTCTCAATTTATCTCTCTCTCTCTCTCCCCTCCCCCTTCTGCCCCACCCCACCCTTATGGGACTCTAATTACACATATTTTTTTCTCTCTTTGATTCAGTTTGGATAAATCTATTGATCTGTCTTCAAGTTTACTGATTTTTTACTGTATCCAGGCTGCCAAGCCCATTAATTCTTTATCTCTTGATGTTGTGGGGAGATTTGTCAGCATTTCCCTTGGAATTTGTTTAGTTTTTGTCTTTCTGCTGACATTCTTCATCTGCTCATGCATGTTCACCACCTTTTCCTCTAGATCCTTCTATATATTAATGATAATTAGTTTAATGTCCCTATCTGATAGTTCTAATATCTGGACCACTTCTTTGTCTCATTCTGTTGACTGCTTTATCTCGTCACAGTGGATTATCTTTTTGTTTTTTGCCTTGTTTTATGTATGTGTATGTGTGTTCATACTTTTTATTCAACGCCAAACATAAAGGAACAGTAGAGACTGAGGTAAATAGTATTTATACCCAGAATTAAGCTTGCCTTTTCTACCAGATCATAAGTTGGGGGCTGGGGGAACAGGCTAGATTTGGGGTTTGTTTTACTGAATTAACTTGTAATGCATCACACTCCTCAGATTCTTTCCACGATGAGCTGCTGCTGCCTTGTGCTTACTGTGAGGCCTGGAGGGCCAGAGGGGCTATTCCTTGTTTCTTCTCTACTCTCAGCTCTCAGCATGCCTGTGCCACATGCGTGGTTCTCTCTGTGTGCTCCCCAGCAGTAGAGACCAACTCATCCCGGTTTGCGGGGAACTTTTGCAGTTTAAGCATGGAAAGTCCTGTGTCCCAGGAAACCCCTCAGTCTGGGGCAGAACTGGGTGCTTGGTCAACTGAGTATCTGAGGCTCCCAGGGATTCTAAACTCATGCTAGGCCCCACTCAACTATTGATAATTTGTTGAAATTTCCCTTCTTTTCTTCTTTGCTCTTGCTCACTATTGGGTGTGAGGTGTATGCTGGACTTAGGATAGTTCCTAGGCGCCCCTACTCCAGCCTCAGTCTTAGGTGAGTCCTAAGGGGCTCGGCCACTATGGTGTGGAATTCTCAGCATTCCTGCACCATATCCCACACTCTGCAGCCAAATGCTGGACTGTGGGGGAGTCTTAGTCAGGAGGGACCCGTAGTGATGCAGACCTCTTCTTTGTAGCTCTGCAGGCTTCTGTCCAGATTGGGTTTCCTCTCCCCTCCTTGAGGACAGACAGCTTCTGCATCTACCCCTCCATCAGCATCAGTGTAACATTGCCTGAGACTGGGGCCATTTCCCGATGTCCATGCAGTAGCCTGCTAATGCTTGCTCCTTGGAACAAGGCTCTTGGTCAGAGTTGCTGGATTTGCTGCCTTCTCCCCACCCACCCCCTTAGAAGAAATAGTTTTTGTTTCTACCCCTTTCTCAGTGACAGTATAGCAGGGGATGGGGCAGTTTCCTGAATGCCCTCTTTTCTGGTTCTTTTTTGCTTTATCCCCTCCCCTAGAGTCAGTGGACCTTTGCCTGTGTCTTAGAGAAGGAGGGTTTCGTATCCCTCTCCCAGAGGCTTGCAGGTTTTGCTTTCTATAACAGAAAGCCCTGGAAGAAGGTGGGTGATATAGTTTGGCTGTGACCCCACCCGAATCTCAACTTGAATTGTATCTTTCAGAATTCCCACGTGCTGTGTGAGGGACCCGGGGGAGGTAATTGAATCATGGGGGCCAGTCTTTCCCGTGCTATTCTCGTGATAGTGATATTCTCATTTGTCTCTTGCCACCACCATGTAAGGAATGCCTTTCACCCCCCACCATGATTCTGAGGCCTCCCTAGCCATATATAACTGTAAGTCCAATTAAACCTCTTTTTGTTCCCACTTTCAGGTATGTCTTTATCAGCAGTGTGAAAATGAACTCATACAGTAAATTAGTAGCAGTAGAGTGGAGCATTGCTGAAAAGATACCCAAAAATGTGGAATTGGAACTGGGTAACAGGCAGAGGTTGGAACAGTTTGGAGGGCTCAGAAGAAGACAGGAAAATGTGGGAAAGTTTGGAACCTCCTAAAAACTTGTTGAATGGCTTTGCCCAAAATGCTGATAGCAATGTGGACAATAAGGTCCAGGCTGGGGTGGTCTCAGATGGAGATGAGAAACTTATTGGGAACTAGACTAAAGGTGACTCTTGTTATGTTTTAGCAAAGAGACTGGAGGCATTTTGCCCCCGTCCTAGAGATTTGTGGAACTTGAGAAAGATGATTTAGGATATCTGGTGGAAGAAATTTCTAAGCAACAAGGCATTCAAGAGATGACTTGGGTACTATTAAAGGCATTCAGTTTTACAAAGGATGCAGAGCACAAAAGTTTAGAAAATTTGCAGCCTGACAATGTGATAGAAAAGAAAAACCCATTTTCTGGGGAGATATTCAAGCCAGCTGTAGAAATTTTCATAAATAGCAAGGAGCCTAATGTTAATCCCCAAGACCATGGGGAAAATGTCTCTAGGCCACGTCACAGACCTTCACAGCAGCTCCTCCCATCACAGGCCTGGAGGCCCAGGAGGAAAAAGTGGCTTCAAGGGCTGGGCCCAGGGTCCCTACACTGTGTGCAGCCTAGGGACTTGGTGTCCTGTGTTCCAGCTGCTCCAACCATGGCTGAAAGGGGCCAATGTACAGCTCAGAATGTGGCCTTAGAGGGTAAAAACTCCAAGCCTTGGCACCTTCCATGTGATGTTGAGCCTGCAGGTGCACAGAAGCCAAGAACTGAGGTTTGGGAACCTCTGCATAGATTTCAGAAGATGTATGGAAACACCTGGATGCCCAGGCAAGTTTGCTGCAGGGGCAGGGCTCTTATGGAGAACCTCTGATAGGGCAGTGTGGAAGGGAAATGTGGGGTCAAAGACCCACACAGAGTCCCTACTGGGGCACTGCCTAGTGGAGCTGTGAGAAGAGGGCCACTGTTCTCCAGATCCCAGAATTTTAGATCCACCAACAGCTTGCACCACGTGCCTGGAAAAGCCACAGATACTCAACACCAGCTCGTGAAGTCAGCCGGAAAGGAGGCTGTACCCTGCAAAGCCACAGGGGTGGAGCTGCCCAAGACCATGGGAACCCACCTCTTGCATCAGCGTTACCTGGATGCGAGACCTGGAGTCAACGGAGATCATTTTGGAGCTTTAAAATTTGACTGACCTGCTGGATTCTGGACTTGCATGGGCCCTGTAACCCCTTTGTTTTGGCCAATTTCTCCCATTCAGAATGGCTGTATTTACCGAATACCTGTACCCACATTGTATCTAGGAAGTAACTAGCTTTCTTTTGATTTTACAGGCTCCTAGGTAGAAGGGACTTGCTTTGTCTCAAATGAGTATTTGGACTGTGGACTTTGGGTTAATGCTGAAATGAATTAACACTTTGGGGGACTGTTGGGAAGGTATGATTGGTTTTGAAATGTGAGGACATGAGATTTGGAGGGGCCAGGGGTGGGATGATATGGTTTGGCTGTGTCCCCACCTAAATCTCAACTTGAATTGTATCTCCCAGAATTCCCACATGTTGTAGGAGGGACCCAGGGGCAGGTAATTGAATCATGGGGGCTGGTCTTTCCCATGCTATTCTCGTGATAGTGAATAAGTCTCACGAGATCTGATGGGTTTATCAGGGATTTCCGCTTTTGCTTTTTCCTCATTTTTCTCTTTCCACAGCCATGATTCTGAGGCCTCCCCAGCCATGTGGAACTGTAAGTCCAATTAAACCTCTTTTTGTTCCCAGTTTCAGGTATGTCTTTATCAGCAGCATGAAAACGAACTAATACAGTGGGCTTTTGTAACTATGCACCACCAAAGAAGGGCCCTCTCAGATCCCCTTCCCTGTCCCCAACCCACCTCATAAGCTCCAGGTGGAGGTCTGGGTAAAAGACCTGGCAACCAGACTAAGGTGACCAGGTCATCCTGGTCTGCCTAGGACTTTTCCAGTTTGAGCACAGAAAGTCCTGTGTCCCAGGAAACTCCTCATCCTGGGGCAGATCTGGATGCTTGTTCAGCCAAGTGTCTGAGTCTCCCAGGGATTCTAATCTCATGCTAGGTTCCACTCAGCTATTGATAATTCATTGAAATTTCTGTTGTTTTCTTCTTTCCCACTCTTATGGCCATTACCTCTTCCTCCCATACTCCGCTGAAAGTGAAACGGTTTGTGTGTTTCCTCTGAAATTCAGTTCTTCTGGTTGCTCTCCTATCTCAGTTCATTAAAAGGCTCAAAAAGTTATAATCTTATATACTATCTGGTTTTTTCTCATTTTTAGAGTAGGAATGGTTATCTGGTGGCTTTCTACACCCTAAGTGGAAAAAAAACCTCCTCATCCCCTTTGCTTCTAAAGAATTGAGCTGCGCATTAGAATGTTGTCCTTGTGGAAAGACATTATAAGAAGCTGCACAAAGTGACCCCTGCATTTATTGTAAAGATGCTCTCATGAACATAGTTCCCCACATCACACAGTGTAGAAATTTATCATGAGTCTCAGTACCGGTAATAGTTGTGTTTCCCTGGTCAAGTTGTTTTTCTTTTGTGAATGTTGTGGATTTAGCAACTGGTAATTTCCTTCTGTACTTTGGAGACTCAGGACCCAATTTATGTTTAGATTTAGCCACTGTACATGATCTTCCAAGGGCATTTTTGCATTTTAACTTTATCTCTGGCTTTATTTTACTTTTTACTCCTATTTCTACTTCCCCTCACTTACTTATCTGTTCAGAGCTTATCCTGTTATAAACCATCATAAAGAATTATTTTAATGAAATAGTATCTGAAAGGCAACTTGTAACAAATGAAAGCACTAATACATTGACAAAATTTAATTGATTTTACGGTATTGCTTTCTAGTCAACACTGTAAAAACGCTTCTCTATAAGGAAGGATCCTTTTTTGGGGAGTGCGTCTGGAGTAAAGGAAAACAAAGGCCTTGAAAAGGGGAACCCTGGCAGTTGCTTATTCTTCTGGATGCTCCCATCTTCCCATTGGCCTCAGCCGACTTGGATGCTGCCACACGCTCTAAGAGCAATTACTTCACCTCTTTCTCACAATGTCACTACTACGCAGAACTAAAACTATCTTTACGAGGTGAGCAGACAGAAATACAATTATTTATGGTGAAGCACAGCCAAATGGCTTGTGTTTTTTAAAAGTCAGCTTCTTCTTTTATGAAATGGAGCTCTAACAAGTGTTTATTCTCTCTGTCAGAGGGAGGTCTTTTCCTGGGAGGATAAAGAAGGGACCAGGCTTGTGCAGCCTGGACACAGGAAAGGGAGGAAGCCCACTCTGTCAGTGGGAGGCCCCTCTCTCTCAAGGGCCTTCCATTGCCAACCCTCCCTTAGACCCTCGCTCATTACTCCCCTCCTTCCTCCACTTTCTCTGTTGTCCTCCTCCTCCCAGCCAGCTTGCCATGTCGGAAGGGATATTCGCTATCCCTCCAATAAAGAATCTAGATTGTTACTGCATTGAGCAAAACCAAACCCTCAACCCAAAAAGACAGGACTAAAGAAACTAACACAGCTTGGTGCATACTTTAACCTTCTCCAGTTATTTATTTTATTCATCCAAATCTCAAGCTAAGGTTGATGGGGAGAAATGAGGCACAATGCAAATAACACAGAACTCTTTAAGATCACAACTCCATGGACTTGTACAAAGAATAAACAAATGTCTTACTTAGAAATTAAATCCACTCGATGGCTTATTAAATCACCCAAGAACTCACATTGCCACCCGGCTCTATGCCTCTTTCATCATAGGATAGTGTAGATGCTATAAAATAATCAGCATCCTTCTCCAGAAAAATTCACTTTACATTTGCCGTTACCCTCCTTGTTTTCCCTGCATGGACCTCAGCTCACAGCTTATTAGAGAACCAAAAGGCCAAGCGGGAAAAGAAATGAATCTTCATGAGCCTATTCCTTCATGTGCCAAGAGCTTGCTCCCCTGCTTCTTAGTGAGATTGCCATGAGGTAACCACAAAAATCCAAGAGAGCTATTATCAAACTTCAGGGTTGTAAAACCACGGATTTATTTATTTGTTCCTGAAAGGGTCTAAGCCGCCTAAATAGCTGTTTAATTGCGTATTTCTCATTAGAGCTCCTTTTTCCTTTTAGAATACAGTGGAGCCACTGTTGTTCTTTATGAAAGTAAGCATTAGGGATAAGGGGGTTTATGACCTGAAACCTTTTTTCCATGCTGAACACACATGTTGTCTTGACTACACCAATGAGGGAAAACTCTCTATTCTGTCAAATAGGTTTATGAAAGGGCATGAGCCTGGTGCTCCCACGGAGCGAGGGAAGCCTCACACACAAACAGGCATGGGACAATAGGTGTATAAACTGAACTATGCAACAGCACTTAAGCTCTGGCTATTTTTCTCCTGCATGAGCTCTGTAGAAATCCAGATGGCAGCCCTAAAGGCTGTGCCTTAAGCAGAAGAAGCATACATCTGACCCTCAAAGGGACAAAATGAGATGGCTGCTCTGACCAGCTCTGTACCAGCTGTGAGGAGGCCTTTTAACTCTGTGGGTCTCAGTGTCACTACCTATAATGTGAAGTGGTAGGAATAGCTGATGTCTGAGGTCTGCTTCAGCTCTTTAAGTCTAAATTCTGAAAAACAAACAAAACTCAACATTTTCTTCAAGGTTGGCAGGAAAACGCCTCTTCCGTGAAAGCTTCAGCAAGACCAAGATAGAGTATCTTGTGAGCTAGGACACTGTTAGATTATTTTAGCCAAAAAACAGTCCATGGAAACCTCAATTAACTATAATTTTGTTGCACCCTATTTTTAAAAGTGGGAAGAAATATGTTTAGAGATGAGCACATGTTCAGACCTTTACTGTATTTAATCCACATACATATCCTAGCCCTAAACAATGACAAACTGTCATTGAACACAACAGCCCTAGAACACTGAGAATACCTGAATTATCAAGGGAAGGTTTCAGCTTTCATAGAGTTCACGCTACTCTACCCTATATTCAGATTAAGAAGTTCCACGATCATGCTAACTTGAAAGGTCCACGATCAGGCAACAGGACTGGGGTTGGACCTAATTAAGTCAAGGTTGGACTAAATACTATTTTAGAAAGCGCCCTCTTGTGGCAAAAAGTGAAATTGCCAAATGGCGGTTTTGTCCTGAGACTGAGTACTGCCATTTATTGTATATTTATTTCATCTCAAGGACCGGCCTGGATGTTTTACATGGTAGTAAAATAAAGGACTTAAGCAAGGTAGTTTTCAATGTCATGGAGAGAACTGGAAGTCTTTTATGTCACAGAGCTCAAGCTACACCTGAAGATTTACTTCACCAAGTGTGTTCATTCCCCCTGTGTATTCCTCAGCACCAGGAGTGGCATCTAACCTCATGACGTTTTCCTGCACCTTTATTGTACTTCCTTGTAGTTCTGAATTGTGGCTGAGAGGCTGTATAAGTCATACTTCTTTATTTCCAGCACACAGCCCCTAATTTCATGAAGAGAGAAGAGAAGAAAGGAAACGACACTACAGACAGGGTGAATGGGAATGAGGGACAGGCGGGACAGGGAAGCACACCCCAATACCTTGTGAAAATCTCCAGAAGTCCCAGGATATTTTAATTCAAACAAAACTGCTTAACATCCATGATTTAAAGGTATTTAATGAACAACAAAAACACTTATTTATATGATTGCAATTTGCATTTTTCAGTAATCTACATCATCCTCAGACCTTTCAAGTTTCCTATGTGACTTATATAGTGAGTTTCTGTGCTTAGTACCACTGGTGCTCATTTGTCAAAACAGTTTGCTAAATATTGACAATGCATTCCGCAAACATAGGCCTGAGAAGACAAATATTTCCATGTATTCCAATTACAAGCGTTCGGCCCCTTCCTTAGAGAGTCCATATCTCAGCACTCATGCTGGGGTGACCCCTTCACAAGAGTTTGCAAACTCAAATGCTTACTAGCTACGTAGTTCCAGTTCTGGTGTGGAAATGTGGGCTCTGTATGTTCAGATCCTCCAACTTTTTAAATGAAACTAGAATGCTAGAGTTTTATGAAGGAATCTCCTGATTTTTAAGTTTTTGAAACTTTGTAAAAAAAAAAAAAACTATATGTCTGAGCCAAACAAAACAGGTTTTCTGCCCAGACGTGCCCCTCTGTCTGCAATTTTCAGTCTCTGCCTGCAGGTCCTTTGAGGGAGGCATTCAGGCTGCCCCTAGGAGACACCTTCTTGAACAGGTCCTGAGAACTACAAGGAAGAAGCTCCAGGAAAGGAAAGTTGCTTGGGGCTTCTGCTGTACTTCATATTGTTGTGGACATCTGGTGGAGGCAAGCAGCATGTAACCTCATCATTAATTCTCTTTGTTTTACACTACTCATTATTTGGATATTGCCACTAGTTTCCAAAAACATGAGAGTTTGCAATGTCTATTGTAAAACTGTTCTCTATCCTCTTAGTAGCCATCCAGGGTCATGTTGTTCTCTACTCTCTCATAAGCCACCCAGGTTCATGCCTTTTTGTTTGTGGTTATTAAAACCTGGCCTTCAAGAATAGCCATACCAGTTTTCCGGGGATTGTGAAATCTTCTGGAAAACAGAGGCACTCATCAACTAAGACACTGCACAAATTTGAAATGAGGTCAATGCATCAGTATCTTTTCAGCACTATGAGGAGAGGGCTCCTGTATTCAAGGTCTACCTAATAATTTCTCATCTTTCCTAATTAACCAAGAAAAAGGAAGCCATGACTGGGGTTTTCATTTGGGAGTGGGTTTGCTCTGGGTCTTTGTGGCTTCAGAGTTTAAATTTCTGCTACTCTGTTACATGTATAAAATGCATACCTTTAATAAGGTCTATAAGTACTGCCTTCAAGTCAAAAAATTCTTGATTACAGAGTTGTCCTGCATTGACAGGGAGTGGGTATGAAGCCACATGTACTTGGATTGCCCGGTGAAAGACATAGGAGAAGTTTGTACTTTCTCAGAGCAATAGCTAAGAAGCAACTGTCGCCATTTGGAAAAGTGGCTTTTTGAAGCTTCAGTTGGGGATCAGGATAGGGGTCCCTGGAAGGGTAGGAGTAAACTCTAAGCAGACACCACTCAGAATCCCCAGGCCAGCTGGCAGAACGCCAGGAGACCTACTATTACATATATACGGGACTATTATATCATGAAAATTACAGTTTCAGCAGCTTGACAGTTTTCATCAGCATTGTGGGAGCTCTGCTCCTTTTTAATTTGGTTCCTTTAAAAGATGAATGGAATAAGGGCTTTCCGAGATTTGGGGTAGTCCTCAAACATCTTGAGGTAGAACCTAAAAGACAAGAAAGGAATAATTGTAAATATAATGGAGCAGTGGCTGACAGCTGAGGTTTGCTCTTACCAAATCTTTGTTACAAGTCAACCTACAGTTATTTTGGGCCTGACTATTTCGATGGTCACTTATGATTCTTATTTCTCCTTCCCACAGCCTATTTCTTGTAAATGTTGAAGCTTCTTTTGCTGGGAAATGAAAAGTAACAGGCAGAGGGTAGTGGTGATGGCTGTGCAATATTATGAATGTACCTAATGCCACTGAATTTTACAATTAAAAACGGCTAAAGTGGTAAAATTTTTGTTACGTATATCCTACCAGAAAAAAAAATGTAGTATCTAGAAGGAGGTACTTGTTTGGATTCAGCTGGGAAATACAGGGAACCAAAGACTATGGGCAAAGAGAACCAGCAATGTTCCCAGGAAAATATCCCTTCATGAGGCCTGGGAATGCCAGCAAATTGTCACCATGTATCATGGGTTGAATTTTGTCTCGTCAAAAGATATGTTGAAGTCCTAACCCCCAGTAACTGAGAGGGTAATTTTTTTTTTTCTGAAACTAGGACCATTGCAGATAAAATTAAGATGAGGTCATAATGGAGCAGGGTGTGCCCTTAATCCAATATAACTGTGTCCTAAAAAGAAGAGGAGAAGAGACAAAGAGACTGAGACAGAGACACACAGGAGAGAAGGCCATGTGAAGACGGAGGCAGAGATCAGAGTGATGCAGCTATAAGCCACGGAACACCAAGGGTTGCCGGCCACCATCAGAAGCTAAAAAGAGGCAAGGAAGAATTCTTCCCTAGAGCCGTCACGGGGGCCTGGCCCTGCCTACGCCTCGATTTCAAAATTCTAGCCTCCAGAACTATGAAAGGACAAATCTGTGTTGTTTTAAGCCGCCCAGTTTGTGGTAATGTATTGCAGCAGCCACAGGAGACGAATGCATCTTATAAGAAGCCTGTCTGCTTAAGTTGCCAGGCTGTCTTCCTAACTAGTTGATGCTGGCGGTCCTCAAGGCATAATCAAGATGACACACTGTATTAAAGTACCTTAGTTTGAATTAGGGGGCAAATAATAAGTTACAAAAGGTGGCTGGTTTTCGGTACTGTGATTTGAGAAGTCTGGTGGGCTGCCTCCGCCCGTGCTGCCTCTGATGTGAGTGCCTGGCTTTGTTTTATAGAAGCCTTCACAAAGTCCTGTTAGCCTATTAAAAACTATGCCTTCTGGCCCTTCTCTGGGAGGTCTGACATCACAGGATGAGGCCTCAATTTGGGTTTTGTTGTTGCAGCAGCTGGAAACGTCTGGTGGAATTACCATCCCTCCCCTAACCAAGCACAGTAGAGTCCCTCCTTCCCAGGGACCCTCCAAGTGCTGAGTGATGCCTTCTCTTCTCCCATTCCCGCTCTGCCTCTGGTGGGCAGCAGACCCAGCCTGAAATGGTAAGAACTGTTATGACTCTTTTATGGGCTAGGAACCCTCTGCCACCCCTCCTCACAGAGTCTAGGAGGTGGTAGGAATAGGTCACTAGCTGTTGCTTCATTCATTTCAGAACTGTTGTCCTCGAACAATTCTAATCAGAAAAAAAGGAACTCATTCTTAGTTAAATCTTCAAAACTAGGCATTGAGTCATAACCCCAGGGTCCTGGTTCCAAGACCACTCATTCCCTGTTTGAGTATCCATAGTCTCCAGTAATTATAGGCTTTCTCTTTCCACAAAAGCCATTTTAGGGAAAGGATCTGACATTTACACTTGGCAAGTTAAAGCCTGATAACAACCTAATATATTACCTTTCACTTCCAGCAATACTTTTAGTTAATTCTTTTGTCCCCACTCCACCCCAGGTTAGTGGATTAGTGAAGCTTTAGGCCAGACCTTCAGAGGGAGGGTTCTGAAACACCTGCAATCCCTGGCATTTCCCAGCAGATAGGGCAGTCCTAAGATTGCCCCATACATGGGATTTCTTGTCCTACCTTCCCCAGAATCCAGGGTTGGCCTTGGTTATGATTTATAGAGGGTGGGTGTCAGGGAAGGAAGGCAGTACCAAAATAAACCCTGGCATTGCAGAGATTCCAGGGGAAATAATCCTTCTGGAGTTCCAGGGCTCTGTGATTACCTGAACTGTTAGCACCAAATCTTGTTGCCAAAAATAGCAGCCACATAGTCACCAAGATAGTACTTTTTCCCAGTGGTTCTCTAGCCTGCTGTGCCTCAGAACATCTGTGGAGGCCAGGCGTGATGGCTTTGCCTGTAATCCCAGCCCTTTGGGAGGCCGAGGCAGGCAGATCACTTGAGGTCAGGAGTTCAAGGACAGCCTGGCCAACATGGTGAAACTTGTCTCTACTAAAAATGCAAAAAGTTAGCTGGGCATGGTGGTGGGCCTGTAGTCTCAGCCATTTGGAAGGCTGAGGTGGGAGAATCACTTGAACCTGGGAGGTGAAGGCTGCAGTGAGGCAAGATCGCCCCATTGCACTTCAGCCTGGGCATCAGAGTGAGACTCCAACTCAAAAATAAATAAATAAATAAATAAATAAATAAATATCTGTGGAGCTTTGGAAAGTGCTGGCCATGGTCCCACCTCTGGAGCACACTTCCAGAAATGTGGTGGGAGGGGATGAAACTGAAGGTGGAAATGGAAGCGGCTTCTTCCGCTTCTTGAGGCTTTATCTAAGCATCTCCAGGTAAGCCTGCCTGGTGGGCACAGAGCCTGGGTCAGCTAACCCAAGAAGGTGCAAGGCACTTCTCGCTGGACAGCCTTCTTCAACAAGACAGGCACAGGACCTTCCCGGCCGTCACCTCAGTTGCCTCTGTTTACATGGACTTATGTTTGTTCTTAGAAAAAATTTTATTACTGCTACTCTCATCCAGCTAACTTCCAACTTCAATACAAGCCCAGCAAGTCAGAATATGCTAACCCAGATTATAGTATCAACCTTCCCTTAAAAAATTAAATATCTTCGGTTTCTCAATCTTCCTCTGCGGGTTAAAAGCCTGTTTGGAGAAGAAGAAAGCTACGTGAATGCTGCCGCTTTTATTGAAAAATTTACCTATGGTGGTGAAAAGCTCGCAGCCCAAGGAAACAAAGTGAGAAAAATGCAAATGCAAGTGCTGGGAGGGACCAAGTGGCCAGGGCATAGCCGATCCATTCAATGATCTCACCGAGGAAATTGGCTCCAGAAACATACGTAAACAAGCCACCTGCGTGCAGAAGAATCGGAAGGTCAATCATTGCAACTGAATCATTTTGACATTAAACCCATCTGTGTTGTTCCAAAATACACAAAGGCAGCAAGAACAAATGTGGGGCTGGAGGCTCCCTCCATAGTCATAGGAGTTTGGTGGAATCCTCTTGGGGAGAAGGGGAAACAAAGCAACAACAGCCTGTTGCCTGGAGAACATTCTGGAGTTGCGAAGAGTGGCCTCAACTGCTTAACGGGCTCTATCCAAATCTCTAACAACTGCTGGACCACTAGCTTTGGGTAGGATAAGGGAGAGGTGTAGGAGGTCTGGTTTTTGTTTTGTTCTGTTAAGGAAGGTTTTTGGGCCACCTCTTACCTCCCCGCTCCTTTCCTGGACACACACACGTTCACATTCACAGTCCCAAAATGTGAAACTGCACACTACATTAAAATAATAAAAATCTGAACTCACGGGAGAAGGAATTTAGATTCTCTTATGGGATTTGCCCCTCCCCACCCTTCTGCAAAGCACTCTCCTCTGTTCATGTTTAAAGCAGAGAGTAGGAGCTGCAGGTATTTGTCCTGCTGTAGGCTGGTGAAGTCGGCTTCTAGATTTTAAATGTTTCATTTTCTATCCAACCAGGTATTTCTTCTCTCAGGACTGTATCTAGAAATCAGCATATTTCTAATGATATTAAATATATCCACACTAAATTTTATTACCCACATTAAACTGGGGATGTTTCAACCGAAACAATTTTGTTCTTTCTACAGTTACATAAAAATACTTTGTTTTAAATCATTCTCTATTATAATTCAAAAGTTGGAAACTAATCTTGGCAACTGGTTTTCAAGTGCTTTCTCTGCTCTTCTTTATTTATCTAGTTATGGAGTGAATGTTTTTAAAATCAAAGCCCCTTAGAGTTGAATCTTTCTTGAAGATGAGACTGCGTCAGTGGTTCCCAACCTGTGATTCCCTACGCCCTGGGAGGAACCACGGATCTAAAGCAAAGGGCCTATAAATTTTCTATGAAGACAGTAAACGGCACATCTTAACCTCCTAAATTATTTTTGTTTGATGTAGATACTGTTAGGATATTAACAACATTCAAATTCATTTGAATCTGTTACTGAATTCATAGTAACTTTGTCATTAATTTCTTAATCAATGACTATTAATGTGCACTAACATCATGTCATAATTGAGGAAATTTTTTGATGTAAATAAAGGGTTGTATTTACATCAAAAACGGTGGAAGCCAAGGACCTACACAAATACCCATCTAAACCTACTGAAGGATGACTTGGACTGATTTGCTCCCATCTGCGTATATTTGTCAATCTCATACCCTGGTTTCTTTGGAGCAGTTAGGATTACAAACATGCTCACCTTTATCTCCAAAAATGCACTTGTGCTTGTAAGGCCTCCCATCCTAAGTTTTGATTAAGTAAATATAGTTCTCTACACCTTTAAAAGTATATATGAATGGCAGGAAATACGCAAGTTCTAGCCTTAACTGCTCACAAGATAAGTCTAGATCAATTGGAGGGGACACATTTATTGGCCAAGCATTCAGCATCATTTGCAACCTAGAAAGGATCAGCCCTCTGTACATGACAACCTTACCTACTGCAATGAGGGTGTAGGTAGCCGATTCCAACCCTACTCAAATCTCCCACTCTCTCCCACCTTCCGGGTATTGCGGTCTCGCACCTTCCTGAGGGCTCTGGTAGCTCTCTGGAGCTTCTGGGTTCAGATTAGAAATGCAGAGGTACTGTGATGGGACTGGGTTTGCAGGGGAAGTCAAGAGCAAGCTGAGAGGTATTGTATCATTCGTGCCCTCACTGTCCCCTCTCCATCTGCTACCATAGCATCATCCCTGGGACAGGCTCCAGGGAAGAGTGAGAGTCTGGGGGCAGGGGAGACATTACCTTGTGGAATCCTGTAGCTGATTTCTCCAGGCTTCCTGAGCTGGCGCAATATATAGTCACTATGAATGTTTATTCCCATTCCCAAAATAAATAAGAAGACACCTTGACAAAGAAGAGAGAAAGGAGAAATTTTTTTTAAATGTGTCCAGATTGTGGTGCTTTTTTCACAAACTAAGCTAAAATGAAAGGAGGGGCATTTAATTTCTAAATCTAAGAATGGTCCTAAGACGTGGCAGAAAGTGGGGAGGGCAATGAGTCCTGGTCCTGAATGGGGAGCACTGGGTGTGCTGTTTCCTAGACTTGGGCTGAAAGTACACAGTGGCACCACTGATGGAGACAGATTAGAAAAGAGAGGAGAGCAGGAGGTAGCACCATTGTCCAGTATTTAAATAGATAAACAAACAAATGCATGGATCATAATAGTAAGCCTTTAGCTCATTCACAAACAGTCAAATCGAGGTTTCATATCTCAACAGCTGATTCCAGCCCCTTTTCTTTTGCCATCCCCCACTACAGAGGTTGCACTGAGAAAGGGGGTCACATGAGCTAGTTCCACCAATAAGATGTAAAGTGAAGTCTTGGTTGGGGGACTTCCTTGGAAATCGTTTGCTTTTCTGATAAAAGGTGCAGGCAAGACCGGTGCCCCTACTTCGTCTTTCTTCCTGTCTTGATTGCCAGATGTAATGCCTTGAGCTACAGTCAACATCTTGCAACCATGAAGTGATGAATAAGAGGACCACAGGTAAACATGCTAAGAATAGGGGAGACACAAAGTGCCTGAGTTATTAATGGTGTCAGTAAGCAACCACAGGAATGCAGAAGCCACCTACTTCGACACTTGTTATGTAAGAACTATGAATTCTGAATTATTCCCGTCACTATTATATGGTTTTCTGAACGCATTCCTGACTGAAACACCCACTCTCATGAAATAACGTGAGCTAGTTTGGAGGCGTGGCCACTAACAAACTGACTTCCATCACTGCCAGTTCACACACACACACACACACACACACACACACACACACATTCTGACATTAAAAGTAGCATACTACACACACTGTTCACATTTTTATTTATCTTACTTAGCCACATATCCTGGAGGTGTCTCCACATGCACTATCCACTGGTACAGAAAGGGCCCTGTTCTGAGGTGAGGACAGCCAGGATCAGGGATGCTAGATCCTGCATCCCAAAAGGCATTATTACAGCCCAGAAACACTCACCGTCCCACAAAGAGGCCCAACCCAACCTGTCAGCAAAGCACTTTGGTGCTTTTCAAAATAGGCAAAAAGCAAGAACAGTTTAGTTGAAACAATCAAGTCTATTCTCACCTTATTTGATTTGATATAAAACAAGGATTTTCCACCTTGCCTAGTCAAAAGATCATTAGCCTGGAAGAAAGGGTATCTGGGGCAGGGGATGGTAGGGGAGCGGGGAGGGAAGGGGGACAGCACACACAGCAGTGTCTTCAACCATTTTAGATAGGGTGGTCAGGGAAAGTCCCTTTGAGGAGGTGCAAATTGGTAGGGAACTAAATAAAGTGAGGAACCAACCCCCATGAATACATGGGGGCAAAGCCTTCTAGGCCAGGCTTGTCCAACCCACAGCCTGTGGGCCACATGCAGCCCAGGACAGTTTTGGATGTGGCCTGACACAAATTCGTACACTTTCTTAAAACATTGTTTTAAGAAACAATGTTTCTTTCAGCTTATCAGCTATCATTGGTGTTAGTGAATTATATGTGTAGCCCAAGGCAATTCTTCTTTTTCCAATGTGGTCCAGGGAAGCCAAAAGACTGGACACCCCTGTACTAGGCAGAGGGAACAGTCCTATACAAAAACACTGGGGCTGGACAAGCTTGACAGCTTGTGGCACAGCAGGAAGGCCACTGGCACTGGAGCACAGAAAAGGAGGTGCAGGGAGCCAGGAAAAGAGGTTGGGAAATTGAAAAGACCAAGAATATTTAGGATTTAAAGGCAGTGGGAAGGAATTTGTATTTTATTTTGAGAGTAAAGGAAATCTACTGGAGAGTTTTGCGATGGGAAATGGCATGATATGTGTTTAAACAATCTCTCTGGCTACCATATAGAGAAAAGATCAGGGTAGAGGTGAGGGAGGGGAAGATGGGATCATTACGAGGTCATTGCAGTAGGGAGAGGCCATGGCGATGTAGATTGTGGGAAGGGTTGTTAGCTGGGAAGTAGGTGAGAAGTGGGCAGATTCACTTACCCAAGCTAAACCGTATGTCTGTGTACCACCCATCAGGGTATTCAGCACAGTAAATCAGATAGTAGCCTTGAAGGACTCCATTTCCAGTGCAGAAGGCAGTGCCTCTGAGAATGAGTATAGCTGGATAAGGCCTCCCTCGATTGAGCAGTGAGTACACAAATGTCCTGGGACACACAGGGAGGAAAGGTTAGGATTCACTGTTAAAAAAGAACATGGTCTCATCCCCACCTCTTTCTTAAGCTCACACCAGAAGGTACAAAAACCAGGCTCTGCCATTTCGCCTTAACCCAATACAAATTATCTTCTCCAGGAGGATGTATATCACAGGCCAAAATAATTACATACCTGAAAAGTACAACCACTAAGAAATAATCAACAACATGTAATATATAAATAATTTATGTAATAAATAATGAATAACATGTACCATGCAAAGTGGAATTATCATGACAGAACAACAATTTTAAATAAGTACAATAAATATCCTTAAAGAAATGTTTCCTTCAAGGCAGAAAAAAATACTTGAAAAAGAACTAAATAAAAATAATTTATCAAAAATTATAAAGCCTATTAGTGATAGAGTAAGAGCAAAATCTAGGTCTTCTGATAATCCTAGTTTTCTACATTAAACCTTTCTAATTACTCTTGAATTGGCATTTTCAAAAAGATGTACTGTCACTGTATGTGAATGAGTGATAGACTCAAAAAAGAGAATCCATAGTTAAGTAAGCTTGGGATCTATAACATCAGACAAGACCTAATATTTACTCATTGTGGGGTTTCTTCAAGCCATGGCATACTAAGGATATGATGACTCTCCGAGAAGGAACCCCTAGTTTGGCACATTCATCACAGACTTGGAGCTCCACTCCAGAAAACACTTTCCTAAACAGGGCAGATAATCCTATACACACAATTGGATCTTGAAGCTTTGAAAACTGATATTTGATTCTGTAAATTTTATATTCATTTTTCTTTCTTTGTCTCTTACACAAAAACACACACACATATGCATGCACACACACATGTACAAATGCACACGCACATGCTCATGCTAGACAACCACACACATCTCCAGAGCATTCATCTGATCTTTTGCAGACAAGAAAGAGCAGACAAGATCTGCAGATTTCACAGATAATCACAGTTGCATTTTGGATAGGAACACCCATCCTTCAAAGTCTGGGAGGTTTGTCTTAGATTTCCTTCTCAAAAACAGGAAGTCTAAGAAATGCCCTGGGCTTCATGTCAGGGATGTGAGTCACCATTTTTTTTACCTGGATCATATGTGAGTGTTGCCTCCTAAAATTGCTGTGAGGATGAAATTATCTAATTTGATGCTTCCTATGAAGAAGCACATTTTAAATTATGGAGTGACTGGCAAAAGTATGCAGACAGGTGTTGCATTATGTGTGAGTCAATTTTTTTTTTTTTTTTGAGATAGAGTCTCATTCTGTTGCCCAGGCTGGAGTGCAGTGGCACGATCTCGGCTCACTGCAACCTCCACCTCCAGGGTTCAAGCAATTCTCCTGCCTCAGCCTCCCAAGCAGCTGGGACTACAGGCACCTGCCACCATGCCCAGCTAATTTTTGTATTTTTAGTAGAGACAGAGTTTCACCATATTGGCCAGGCTGGTCTGGAACTCTTGACCTCGTGATCCACCTGCTTCAGCCTCCCAAAGTGCTGGGATTACAGGCATGAGCCACCGCGCCCAGCTGAGCCAAATTTTATAAACATAAAACATCAAGGTGGTATTGAAGACCTGCACTTTCCCCCTTGGCAACAGCAGTTCCACATCTTTCCTCTCTTGGCTTGAATATGGACAATTCTGTTGGAACAGGGAGGCTGCTCAAGTGTTCTCAGGATGCTGAAACTTCTCACCTCTACCATCTGCTCTCCTGGCCAGTTAATGGACTATGAGGATCTTTAATTATTTGTATTAAAAAGCTGAAGGGGAAAGAAAGGTTAGTTTCCTGTGCTGTCTCCCTAGAAACTAAATGCTGTCTGCTGTCTCCCTCTCCCCTTCACACCTGGACTCAGGTCTACTATGTCGTCTGCAGAATGCCTCCCACCCCACCCAATCACAACAGTGCCTACAATTCATGTCAGTAAATAATTACCTTCTCTGTTTCTCACCTCCTTCAAAACACAAATACACACAACAAGAGAAAGGAAATTGAGTCTCTAATACCAGAGTGTGCATAAGTGAATTAGATTCATGAGTTTTACTTCCTTCCCCAGAGGGAAAAAGAACAGAGTGAAGATGTAGTGGGAGAGCAAGGGCTCCGTGGTTAAAAAGGTCAGGCTCGAAGGATTTCACTATTTCATAACTCTGTGATCTTGGACAAACTCCTTCATCTGTAAACTGAGGTTAATTATTAACCTTATTGGATTATGAGGCTGGACTCATTGGACTACTGTTTTATGAGAATCATTGGATTCCTACAGAAATTAAATAAGATGATGCAGGAAAAAGTAACTGATACAGGATTGTTGCTATTTGTTTCTCCTTGCATTCACACTCCAGGAAAGCTTTGGGAGCCTGAAGGTGACTTCTTAGAAGGAAAGGATCCTGAAAGGCTACAGAAAGGTATTTTTTAAAAAGTTGTATTTTTGTAATACTTGCAGTAGAAGTATGTATTAATCAGGGCAGGCTCACTACTGTAACAAACAACTACAAAGTATCAAAAGATCAACATAATAAAAGCTCATTTCTTGCTCATGCCACAGTAAGATGCTATTCAAGCTTCTGCTCCACAGCCATTCAGGACCCAGGCCCTTCCAAGGAATCTTCTGCATCTATCCAGCAGGCAAAGGAAGAGAGAGGACAAGGAGGATTGTGTAGAAGATTTTCTTAATGACCATGCTTCAGGCTGGAAGTGGCATAAATTCCACCCTCATTCTTTTGGCCCCACCCAACTGCAAGGGAGGCTGGGAAATGCAGCTGATTGGGTTTCCCAGCAGGAAAAAGAAGGAGGTTTGGTGAACACATGGTACAGACAGAAGACTTTGGAGAACTAGATGTCCCGGAGAACAAATAAAGTTCATCTAATCTGAATAACTTTGCTATTGGAAAGCTGGAAATAGTTCAAAGCTTGTTTCACTGTAGAAAAAGACAAAGACAATGACAGAAGCGGGAGAGAGTCTATTAGCCCAAGAGGCTGGCAATTGGTGCTGTAGAGTTGTAGGTGAGTTTCCCCTTCAGATCCCATGCTCCACCTATGGTCTGAGACTCAGTTTCCCTGGTTTGGGACCACATCACTTTAATTACCTCCTACACCTCTAATGTAAATTTTCATTCTTTTATGTTTGTTCTTATAGAGAGACTGATAAGTACTCTGTAAATATAAAGTTTTTTTATCATTGCTAAGTAAATATTCATTTGGGGGGATTCATTGGAAAGGGTTAACTGAAATTGCAAATCCAAATTAAACCAAAGAAAAGAAGCTTTAAAATTACACATCTTGCATAGACCAACTCATATTTAACTAAGTCTTCTTCAAATATAAATGCTATTGCTAAGATTATCAAGCCAATTGAAGACTTTTCACTATATGAAATTTTAGACTCATTGTCAATCAAAATAAATTCAAACTCTATAGATAAATACAAAGTTTCCATGTATATATTTAACTGTTCTGTATAGTAATTACACCTTTCTTGACCCTGTAACCTTGTTCATCTACTACTCCATTTTCCTGCTTTCCTTTATAGCAACTCCAGAGAGTTGCTTATGCTCACCATCTCTGTCTTCTCCTCCACTTCTTTCCTCCTTCCCCCTCCTCCCATGGAAACAAATCTTGGTGGGGCCACCAGAGACCATCACATTCCCAAACCCAAGAATCAATTTACAACTCTCTTCTTATTTGACAAATTAATCACTCCCTCTTTCTGGAAACACTTTCTTTACTCAACTTCCAGCACACCACACTCTCTTGGTTCTTCTGCTTCACTGATCTGTTCTCATTTTCCTTTGCTGGTTTCTCCTCATCCTCCTGACCTCTAAATATGAGAGTGCCCCCAGAACTCAGGACTCTTTTTCTTCTTTATTTACAGTCTCTGTCTATGTGATCACATCTAGACATATCATTAAATATCATTCATATAATCTGAATGTGTTCCCCAAAATTTGTGTGCTGGAAATTTAATCCCCAATGCAACGGTGCTGAAAGGTGGGGCCTTTTAGGAGGTGTTTAGGTCATGAGGGCTCTGCCAACATGAATGGATTAATGCTGCTATAAATAGGACTTGAGGGAGTGGATTTGTTCATTCTTGCCCTTTCACCTTCTGCCTTCCTCCACGTGAGAATACACCAAGAAGGAGTCCATCAGATGCTGGCACCTTGGCCTTGTACATCCCAGCCTCTAGAACCGTGTGAAATAGATTTCTGCTCTTTGTAAATTACCCAGTCTCAGGTATTCAGTTATAGCAGCGCAAAACAGACAAAAGCAATTATCTATAGGACAGCAAGTCCCAAATTGATATCTCCAGACAGGATATCTGCAGTCCTTAAACTCAGACTCCTGTGGGCAACCTCCTACTATGCCCCTAGTTTAATGGATATTTCAATTTTAACACAGTCAAACCCAAACCTCTGACTCCCCATTCTTCCCCAGACTTGCACTTCCCTCGGTCTTCCCCATCTCAGTAAATGCCAAGTTTATTCTTCCAATTGCTTAAGCCAAAGATCTTAGACCATCTTTGATCTCTCTCTCTCTCTCATTCTCTCACACCCCACATAAAATCTGTTAGCAATTTCTGTCATCTTTATCTGCAAAATGTTTTCAGAATCTGGCCACATCTCACTAACTCCATTATTCCATCTGAGTTTAATCTCTCATTAAACCTCTCCCGGGTATTTGTAAAAGCCTCCTCATTTGACCACCACATTTACTCCACCGCAATCTATTCTCCATATAGCAGACCAATAAAGCTGTAAACTGGATCATATTACTTCTCTCTGAAAACCTCCTTCATGACTAAATGAAAGCCCAAATTCTTGACTGCCTTCAAGACCCTAGACAATCTGATTCCCCAACTACATCTCTGCTCTCTTCTACCACTTTTGTCTTTGTCCATCTCACTGCAGCCACTCTGCTCAAATGTTAGCTTCCCTGACCACCTTATGTAAAATAAATAACCTCCAATGCCTCCAGCACTCACTAGCCTCATAAATCTACTTTACTTTTTCCAGTAGCATTTTTTACTAACATATTCTACTTTCTGTGTTTATTGTCCACCTCTTCCCACAAGAATGTATGCACCATAAAGAGAGAAATGTTATCTATTTTGTTCATCACTATATCTGCAATGCCTTGAACAGTGCCTGGGACACAGCAGGCCTGGAATGAATTTTGAATGAAAGAGAGTCTATCATGTGCTATAAGTGGCACACATCATACGCATGCAGAGCTTCAAATTTTATCTCACTGTATATGCATCATAACTTTTACTTCCAGGGGGGTGTGAAGTGGAGATGCTTTTCCACATTCCTCCTGCTACATATAATTGAGTCTCTGGACGTTATTTAAAAAGCAAACATGAGAAGATTCTAAAAGTTGGAGAGAACAAGGCATATGGGCTAGAAACCTTAGGATTTGAAGAAAAACAAAGCAGTGTGTTCCTGGATTTTCATTTTGCCTCATATATTCCAGATTTAGAGCCATTGAAGTTGGCAACCATAAAATGGAACCATCACAGATCAAAAAGGCCAAACAAAATCTTACTTTCTCTAGCCAAGGAATGAGAAAAAGGGAAAAACCAGAAAGACAAAAACTTTTAGAATATAGTTGCTTTGTTATAACAAACACCACAGAAAAACTGGCTCACTCTCACCCCACTAGCAAAGTCTGATGGAAGTGCAGAAGCCTGTGCTTCCCCCTTACCAAGCTGTTATAGGCACTCTAACCCCTTGCCAGGCTGTGTCAGAAAAGGCTGGGTAGGGAGTCAGGAATTCCTACTGGGAAGTAACAAGCTCATCCCACTTCTCCACAGTGTTAGTAGAGACAACATGGGGAGCCAGGATTTCTTAACTCCACATCCTCCTGCTGGCCTGGGTAGTATCAGAGAAGCCCTAGTGGAGAGTTGGAATATTCACCGTTTCCCAGTGACAACAAGGCCACCTTCCCTCCTCCACTGCATTCCATGGTGTCAGTGGAAACCAGTTGGGAGGTGAAAGGAAACATTCCCAACTCTCTCAGCCAAACAGATATCAGTGGAGGACTAACAGGGAGCCAAAAACCCCACCGCCACACAAAAGTAACAAGGAGCCTCCACGTTCAGGTTTCAAAATGTCCAGGTTTCAATGGAAAATAACTTAACATACCAAGAACCAAGAAGGTCTCAAACTGAATTTTTAAAAATCAATAGATGCCAATACACTGTATTATGTAATTCTAAATGTACGAAGGGGGAATATTTAAGACAATTATATTATAAATGAGGAAGAAAAATGTGGCATTACGGGAAGTATGTTTTCTACACTCAAACTGGTAAAATGACAACACTTTTAAACTATGAAAAATTGTGCATATATAATTTAACACCAAGAGCAATCACTAAAAAACTATATGAAAGAGATTCTCTTGTATCAAATCTAAGGATAAATCAAAATGAAATTCTAAAAAATATTCATATAATCACCAGGAAGCATAAAAAAAGAAAACACATAGAAAAACAGAGAGAACAAATATAAAACAAAAAATAAAATTTCAGACTTAAGCATTAATACATTAATAAATCCAATAAATGTAAATAATTCAAATCATTGTAAAGACAAGAGTTGGCTAAAGACAATTAAAAGACAAGAGTTGACTAAAACATAACCAAACAATAGGTTGATGACAAGAAACTCACTCAAATATAACAATATAGTCAGGGTAAACGTAATAAAAAGGGGAAAAGATGTATCATAAAAACATTAAATAAAGGAAGGTAGGGAGAGCATCCTGGGGAGCTGCAAGAGTAAGAAACACGAGGAATCTGTCTCCCTGCTTAGGCAATAATTGCACTGACAGAGTATGTCTGATATAACTGTTTTGGAAATCTGGAGTCTATTGAAGGCTTGCAACTTTCAGGGAAACATTTGGATGGTACATTGCAGTTAACTTTGATTTCAGCTCAGTCAATTTTAGCTCTTAGCACAGTAACAGCTACCCATTTCCTATCCCCACCCCTGTGGCAGGCAGCTGTGCATGTATTCCTGCAGCAGCTTGTTGCACACAGCTTGAAGGAGCCAGGATAAGCAAAATGGACCCTGTCCTCTAAGTATCAGGCATATGTGCTTAGATTGATGATTGCTGCTTCTGATCAGAGAGGTACAGACAAAGAGGTGGTGGGTCTTTGCTGTTACACCTTATTCCATTGTTGCAAACCCCTCCCCATCCAGCTGAAATGACTTCCAGAGATTTAAAGGGCTGGCACCCTATTTCCACTCCCTTTTTCATTTTTCTCTTTTTCTCCTTTTGGGAGCCAGATATTAAAGATAAGGACATTCACAAACAACTGAATATATGGGGAAAATTAGAAAGTTAACACACATGACCACAGAAAGATGCAAGCTCAGAGAATACCAGTAAAGACCTTATGTTTACACCTCAGGCTGATCCTTGGCACAGAGACAGACTAAAGCAATTTTTATAAACAAACAAAACAATAACAAAAAGCAAACAACCTTGAGGAAAAAGAAGAGTCTGCATCCCAGAGTTACCACATCATTAAATTGAAATACCCAACTTTCAACAAAAAAAAACACAAGGCATTCAAAAAAAAAAGAGGAAAATATAGCCCATTCAAAGGAAAAAATAGTCAACAGAAACTGCCCCTGAAAAAGACCTAACAGCAGATCTACTCAAAAAAGACTTTAAAATAACTGTCTTGAAGATACTTTAAGAACTGGAAAAGAGGGAGGGTGGAGCAAGATGGCCAAACTGAACCTTGCAACAATGATCCCCACTGCAGAAGACCTATTTAACAAACTATCTACACACACAAAAAGCACCTTCGTAAAAACAGGAAATCAGATAAGCAATCACAGTACTTGGTTTAACTTCATATTGCTGAAAGAGGCACTGAAGAAGGTAAGAAACATAGTCTTGAATTGCCAATGATGCCCCTCCCCTATCCCTCTGGCAGCAGCCACATAGCACAGAGAGACAATCTGTAAACCTGGGAAATGGACAGTACAGTGATTGTGGGGCTCTGCATTGAACTCAATGCTGCCCTGTCACAATGGAAAGTAAAGCTGGGCTAAACTCAGCCAATGCCAACACACACAGGGAGCATATAGATCAGCCCTAGCCAGAGGGGAATCACCCATCCCAGCAGCTGGAACTTGAATTTTCACAAGACTTACCACCATGGGCTTAAGTGCTCTGGGATCCTAAACAAACTTGAGAGGCAGTCTAGGCCACAAGGACTGCAATTCCTGGGCAAGTCCTAGTGCTGTGCTGGGCTTAGAATCAGTGAACATTGGACACCAGCCAGGGTGGCTAAGGAAGTGCTTGTGCCATTCCTCCTGCAACACCAGGCAACACAACTCACAACAAAATTTACTCCCACCATCTGCTTAAGGAAAGGAAAGCAAAGAGTAAAGAGGGCTTTATTTTGTATCTTAGAAGTGATTATTATGCACTGCATGCCTGTATCAAAATACTTCATGTACCTCATGAATATATACACCTACTACATACCCAAAAAATAAAATTTAAAAGCCTAGGCAACATAGTGAGACCTCATCTCTATTAAATTTATTTATTTATTTATCCAGGCATGGATGGCACACACCTGTAGTCCTAGCTACTCAAGAGGCTAAGGCAGAAGGATCACCTGAGCCAAGGAGGTTGAGGCTGCAGTGAGCTAACTGAACCATGTACTACAGCCTGGATGACAGAGCAAGAACCTGTCTCAATAAATAAATAAATAAATAAACTAAAAGTACATGTGGATGAAGTCAAGAAAACAATGTATAAAACAAAATGACAATACAAATAAAGATTTTGAAAACCTAAAAAGAACATCTGGAGCTAAAAATTAAAATAACAGAAATGAAAAATTTACTAGAGGGCTTTGAGGGAAGATATGAGTAGGCAAAAGAAAGAATCAGAGAACTCAAAGATAAGGCAATGGAAATCATCAAGTCTGAGGAACAAAAAGAAAACAAAATTGAAGAAAAGTGAGCAGAGCCCAAGAGACCTGTGAGACATCATCAAGGGGCTCAACATACACACCATGAGAGTCCCAGACAACGCAGAGAGAAAGAAAGGAGTAGAGAGAATATAGGAAGAAATAATGGTGAAAAATTCTTCGAATTTGAAAAAAGACATGAACATAAACCTCCAAGAAGCTCAATTAACTCCAAGTAAGATGAATTCATAGATACCCACATGGATATACATTATAATCAAACTTTCCAAATACAAAGGCAAAGAGAAAATCTTGAAAGCAGCAAGAGATAGAAATGACTTGTCACATACCAAGCATCTGCAATAAGATTATCTACAAATTTCTCATCAGAAATTTTAGAGATAAGAAGGCAGTGGGCTGATATTTTCAAAGTGCTAATATAAAAAAGAAACTGTCAAGCAAGAACACCATATCTGGCAAAACTTGAAAGTGAGGAGAAACTTAAGACATTCCCAGCTAAACAAAAGCTGAGATAGCTTGCTGCCCTACATCTGCCATGCCAAAACTGTTAAAGGGAGTCCTGCAGGTTAAAATGAAAGCATACTATACAGTAACTAGAATCTATATAAAGAAATAAAAATATCAATGAAGGTAAACATAGGGACATTGTAAAAGGTGGTATTATTATAACAATGTTTCTTGACTTTGTGTTCTGTACATGATTTAAGAAACTAATACTTTTTAAAAAAACAATTATTAGTCTAAAAGTTAATATCACTGAAACTATGGTTTCTAACTCATTATTTTTTCCATAGAAGAGTTTAATGCATTTCAAGGAATTATTTATGTTTTGTGACACATGATATATAAAGTTGCAATTTTGTGACATTAACAATCAAAGAGAGATGGGAAGGAGCTGTTAAAGTAGCAGAGTTTTATGTTATTGAAATTAAGCTGGTTTATAAGTTAGAATGTTATAAATTTAGGATGTTAAATGTAATTCCAATGGTAACTGCAAAGAAAATAGCTATAGAATATATACAAAAGGGAACAAGGGATGGGGAGTTATACGGTGTAGAGAAAACAAATATAAAAATTATAGAAGTAAGTTCCTCCTTTTCAGTAATAGCATACATGAAAATGTATTAAACTCTTCAACCAATATAGATGAGCAGAATGGATTTTTTAAATGATCCAAATATATGCTGTTTACAAGAGACTCACTTTAGCTCCAAAGACACAAATAAATTGAAAGTGGAAAAATGGAAGATGACATTTCATGCAAATGGAAATGAAAAAAGAGCAGATGTGGCTGTACTAACAGGCAAAATGGACTTTAAATTTTTTTAAAAATGGTTACAAGAAACAAAAAAAGTACTTAATCTTAAAAGGTTCAGTATAGCAAGAAGATAGAAGACTTATGAGCATTTATGCACCTAATGACAGACCATCAAAATAAAGACAGTGAAAACTTCAGAATTGAAGTAAAAAGAGACATTTCTGCAATAATAGTTAAAGAATTCAATACCACACTGTCAAAAATGAATAGAATAACTAGACAGAATATAAGTAATGACATAGAGAACTTAACACAATAAACCAACTAGATCTAACAGAAATATACAAAACAACTCTGACCACAACAGGATAAAGTTAGAAATCAATAACAAAAGTAAAACTGAAAAATCTATAAATATGTGAAAATTTTAAAACACATTCTTTAAAAAAATTAATGGATCAAAAGAGAAAGCAAAGGGAAATTAGAAAATACTTAGATATGAATGAAAATGACAACATAACATACTAAAACTTATAGGATGCAGCAAAAGTAGTGTTAAGCATGAAATTTGAAACTACAAATGATTATATTAAAAACAAGGAAGATCCTATATCAGCCAACTAACTTTACAACTTAAGGAGCTAGAAAAGAATAAGCTAAACCCAAAGCTACCAGAAAGAAGGAATAATTAAGATTAGAACAAAGATCAAAGAAATCAAGAATAGAAAAACAAGGGTAAAACCAATAAAACCAAATGCTCCTTCTTTAAAAATTTTTTTTAAAAATGACAATTCTACACTTAGATTGACTAAGAAAAATAGAGACAAGACTCATATTACTAAAATCATAAATAAAAGTGGGACATTACTACTTATTCTATGGGAATAAAAAGAATTCTAAGACAGCACTATGAACAATTGTACCCCCCAAAATTGGATAACCTACATGAAAAAGTTCAGATTCCTAGAAATACTAAACCTACCAAGACTAAATCATAAAGAAATAGAAAATTTGAAAAGACTTATAACTAGTAAGGAGATTACATAAGTAATCAAAAATCAAAATCTCATAATGAAAAAAAAAGCCCTTGATCTAACAGTTTCACTGGTGAATTCTACCAATAGTAGAAATACTTCTACCATTTAAAGAACTAACCCCAATTGTTCTCAAACTTTTCCAAAAAAAAAATGAAGAGGAGAGAGAACACTTCCTGACTTATTCTATGAGGTCAGCATTATTCTGACACCAAATTTAGACACAGACACTATCAGAAAAGAAAATTATAGAGCAGTATTTTTTATGAACATCAAAGCAATTTTTTAAACAAAATACTAGCAAACCAAATTGAGCAGCATATAAACAGAATTATAGACCATGATCAAGTAAGACTTAATTCTAGAATGCAAGGATAACTCAAAATACAAAAATCAATCAGTGTAATCCATAGCGTTGTCAGGCTTACAGAGGGTAAAACACGTGGTCAATTAATTGATGCAGAAAAAGCATTTGAAAAATTCACTCTTTCATGATAAAAGCACCAACCAAACTGAGAATGGAAGGCAACTTCCTCAACATAATAAAATCTGTATATTAAAAACCCAAAGCAAACGTACTCAAAGATGAAAGCTCTTCTTTTAAAATCAGGAACAAGGCAAGGGTGCTGCTTTTGCCATTTCTATTCAACATAGTGCTAGAAGTTTTAGCCAGAGCAATTAGACAAGGAAAAGAAATCAAAGAGATACAAATCAGAAAGAAGGAACTAAAATTATCTCTGCTTACAGATGATATGATCATGTGTCTAGAACACTCTAACGATTCCACATACATTTTTAAAAAACTGTTAATAGACGAATTAAGCAAAGTAGCAGGATAGAGAGTTGACACACAAAAATCAGTTGCATTTCTATACACTTACAATAAACAATATGAAAAGGATATTAAGAAAGTCTCATTTACGATAGCATCAAAACAAATAAAATACTTAGGAATTAACTAAAGACGTGAAAGACTTGTACAGTAAAAAATTATAAAATATTGCTGAAAGAAGTTAAAGAAGAATATAAAAATGGAAAACATTCCATGTTCATGGACTGGAAGACAATATTTTTCAAATGTCCATACTACCAACACAATCTATTGACTCAATACAATCCCTATCAAAATTCCAATGACTTTTTTTTTTCAGAAATAAAACAGTCCACTATAAAATTCAAATGGAATCTCAAGAGACATCAAAAAGCCAAAACAATTTTGAAAAAGGAGAAAAAATATTGAGGACTCTCATTTCCTGATTTCAAATCTTACTAAAAACTATAGTAATCAAAGCAATATAGTACTGGCATATAGACAATAAAAGCCTATAAAGACAAAGACATGCAATCTACCTAGATGCCCATTAATGATGGACTGGATAAAGAAAATATGTTACATATACATCTTGGAATACTATGCAGCCATAAAAAATTAAATTATGTCCTTTGCAGCAACATGGATGCAGCTAGAGGCCTTTATTCAAAGCCAAATTAATACAGGAACAGAAAACAAATACTGCACATTCTCACTTATAAGTAGGAGCTAAACGTTGAGTACACTTGAACATAAAGACAAAAAGAACAGACACTGGGGACTAATAAAGTGGGAAGGGTGAGAGGGGGCTAAGGGCTGAAAAACTACCAGTTGGCTACAATGCTCACTAACTGGGTGATGGGATCGTTTGTACACCACACCTCAGCAACGTGCAACTTACCCATGTAATAAACCTGTACATGTGCCCCCTCAACTTTATTTTAAAGTTAAAAAAAATAAAAATAGGCTGGGCACAGTGGCTCACACCTGTAATCCCAGCACTTTGGGAGGCCAAGGAGGGCGGATCACCTGAGGTCAGGAGTTCAAGACCAGCCTGACCAACATGGAGAAACCCTGTCTCTACTAAAAATACAAAAAAGTAGCCAGGCGTGGTGGCACATGCCTGTAATCCCAGTTACTAGGCAGGGTGAAGCAGGAGAATCACTTGAACCTGGGAGGCAGAGGTTGTGGTGAGCCGAGATGGCGCCATTGCACTCCAGCCTGGGCAACAAGAGTGAAACTCCATCTCAAAAAATAAAATAAAATAAAATAAAAATAAAAATAAAAGTCTAAAAGGCACATAGACCTGTGAAATACAATACAGAGTCCAGAAATAAACCCTAATATATATGGTTAAATGATTTTTGACAAGGGTGCTATGATGGTTGATTTTGGATGTGACCTTGACTGGATTAAGGGATACCCAGCAGCTGATAAAGTACAAATTATTCTCAATGCTTCAGTAGAAACTGATCATGTCTCCCTTCTGTAAAAGGGAAACCCAAGTGATTTAGCATTTGATTCTAATGATTGGGCTACCCCAGGTGCATCTGTGAGGGTGTTTCTGGAAGAGATTGGCATTTGAGTTGGTGGACTGGGTGGAGAAGATCTGCCCTCAATGTGGGTGATGGAATAAAAATGTAAAGGAAGGACAAATTCTTGATCTGTCTTCTGGAGCCAGAATTCATTTCTTCTACCCTTTTCAAGTGTACATGGGCTATATACCATGGTAGATTATATTTGTATCATGAGACAAGTTCAGATTCTCTGGTCTTTGGACTTTAGGACTTGCACCAGCAATTCTCCAGGCTCTCGGGCTTTCAGTCCTGGACTGAGAATTGCAACATTGGCTTCCATGGTTCTAAGGCCATCAGACTTGGAATGAGCCATGCTACCAGCTTCCCTGGCACTCCAGCTTACAGATGATCTGTTATGAAACTTCTCAGCCTACATAATCAAGTGAGTCAATTCCCCTAATAAATCCTTTCTTATATCTCCCCCGCCTCTCTCTACATAGATAGATAGATAGATAGATATAGATATAGTTAGATAGATACAGATATAGATATAGATATATATCTCCTATTAATTCTGTCTCTCTGAAGAACCCTGATTAAAACAGATGTCAAGACCATTCAGTGGAGAAAGAACAGTCTTTTCAGCAAATCATGCTGGGAAAACTGGATATCCATATGCAAAATAAATAAATTAGACCCTTACCTAATACTATATAGAAAAATTAACTCAAAATTGATCAAAGACCTAAATATAAGAAAAAAACTATAAAATTCTTAAAAGAAAACGTAGGACAAAAGCATCATGATACTGTATCTGGCAGTGATTTCTTGGATATGCTACCAAAGGTGCAGCCAACAAAAGAAAAAACAGAAAAACTGAACTTCATGGAGAATCTTTAAAATTGTACATCAAAGACACTATTAATAGAGGAAAAGGGCAACCCACAGAATGGGAGAAAGTATTTGCAAAGCATATATCTGACAAGAGATTGACATCCAGAATATATAAAGCACTCCTAAAACTCAACAACAACAACAAAAAATTGGGCAATGGACTCGAATAAATGTCTCTCCAAAGAAGCTATGCAAATGGCCCATAAGAACCTGAAAAGATGCTCAACATCACTAATCTTTAGGGAAATTAAAATCAAAACTACAATGAGATACCATCTCCAACCAAACCAATTAAGATGGCTACTATTAAGAAAACAAAAAATAACAAGTCTTGGCAAAGATGTGGAGAAACTGGAACACTTGTGCCCTGATAGTAGAAATGTAAAATGGTGCAGCCACTGAGGAAAACAATATGGTGGTTACTCAAAAATTAAAAATAGAATTACTACATGACATAGCAAATCCACTTCTGAATATGCATCTAAAAGAACTGAAAACAGGGTCTTGAAGCAATATTTGTGCACACATTGATAGAAGCATTATTCACAATAGCTAAAATGTGGAAGCAATCAAGTGTCTATTGACAGATGAATAAATGGATAAGCAAAATGTGGTATATACTTACAATGGCTTTATAAAGGAAGAAAATTCTAACACGTACTATAACATGGATGAACCCTGAGAGCAATGTGCTAAGTGAAATAAGCCAGTCACGAGAAGACAAATTCCATATGATTCACTTATATGAGGTAGTTAAAAGTAGTCAAAAGCATAGAAACAGAAAGTAGAATGGTGGCTTCCAGGGGCTGGAAGTAGAGGGAATTATTATTATTATTATTATTATTATTATTATTATTATTATTATTATTTAAGATGGAGTCTCACTCTGTCACCCAGGCTGGGGTGCAGTGGCACAATCTCGGCTCACTGCAACCGCCGCCTCCCAGGTCCAAGCGATTCTGCTGCCTCAGCCTCCCAAGTAGCTGGGACTATAGGTGCCCACCACCACACCAGTCTAATTTTTTGTATTTTTAGTAGAGAGGGGGTTTCACCATATTAGCCAGGTTGGTCTCAATCTCCTGACCTCATGGTCCACCCGCCTCGGCCTTCCAAAGTGCTGGGATTACAGGCGTGAATTATTTTCTTACTAGGTACAGAGTTTCAGTTTTATAAGATAAAGAGTCATGAGCTAAATAGAAGTGATGGTTGCACAACATTAAGAATGTATTTAATGTCACTCAAAATGGTTCAAATGTTAAGTTCTATTATGTGTATTTTGCCACAATAAAAAATAATAAATGTTAAAAGTAAAAATGAAGTAGAGTTACTATACTAATTTCAGATAAAGTAGACTCTGAGCAAACAAAATTACCAGAATTAGAGAGGGACATTATATAATGATAAAATGGTAAGTTAACCATGAAGATATAGAAGTCTTAAATGTGTGTGCATCAAGCAACAAACTGGCAAATTATATGAAGCAAAACCAGAAGGAAAAATAAATAGATCTACTATTAAAGCTGAAGGCTTCAACACCCATTTCTAAACCATAGATAGGAAAACCAGAAAACTAGGAAAACTAGAAAATCAGCAAAGATATAAAAGAACTCAACAACACTATCAACCAACAAGATATAATCAACATTTCTATTACACAGCATCAAACAACAGCAGAATGCACATTCTTTTCAAGTGGCCATGGGATATATACCACAGTAGACCACATCTTATATCATAAGGCAATCCTAGACAAATTTTTAAAAAGTAAAATTATACAGAATATGTCACCTGGCCATAATAGAAACAAAACAGAGATCAGACATAATAATAACAAGAAATTCTCCAAAACTTAGAAACTAAACAGCATACTTTTAAATAATTCATGGATCAAAGACCAAGTCTCAAGGTAAATTAAAAACTACATTCATCTTTGTTTTTTGTAACCACTTTAAAAAATAAACTAGGTAATTTATTTCTTAATTTTCAATATCCCCAAAATAGAGATATCCTTGTCCAGATGGCTTTACTGCAGAATTCTACCAAACATTTAAGTAATTAATACCAATTCTATGTGATTTCTTCCAAAAAATAGAAGAGCTTCTCAATTCATTTTATAAAGCTTGTATTACCCTAATCCAAAAAAAAAAAAGGTAAAGATAAACCAGATAAAGACAGTGCAAAGAAGAACAAGAAAAAAATTACAGGCTACTAGTCCCCATAAAAATTGATGCAAAAACATTTAACAAACAGAATTCAGTAATTCTATATGAAGAATTATATAGCATGACCAACTGGAGATATAGTTCAGAGATGCAAGGCTGGTATACTTAAAAATCAATTGATGTAACCCACCTTATTAACAGAATAAAAAAAGAGAAATAACCTGATTATATCAATCATTTAAAAATTTTATAAAATTCAATTTCTATTAATGATAAAATTATAAGAAATAGAAAATAAGAGTAGAGGAAAACTTCCTGAACTTGATAAGGAACATCTACAGCTAACATTATATCGAACAGTCAGTAACTGAATGTTTTTTCCTTAAGATCGTGAACAAGACAAAGATGTGCATTCTTACTACTTTTATTCAACAACATGCTAGAAATTCTAGTCAGTGTAATAAGGTAAGAAAAAAATTTATAGATTAGAAAAGGAGAAATAAAAGTCATTTGCAAATCACATGATTATCTATGTGGGAAATCCCCAAAAATATACAGAAAAAAACCCCTCACTTCTAATAGATTATTTCAGTGAATTTGCAGGATACAAAATACACAATTAAATTTCTATTTGCTACTAATGAATATGTTGACACTGAAATTTAAAAATATCACCAAATTTACGATGACCCCAAAACTACCATATTTTGTTGTAAATCTAACCAAACATGTACAAGGGTTCTATAGTGAAAACTCCAAAGAATTAATAAAATAAATTAAAGATCTTTTTTAAATGGTGACATATCATGTTCATGGATTAAAAGACTCAATATAGCAAGGATATTAATTCTCCCCCAAAATGACAATGCAATTTTTATTACATCCCAGAAATTTTTAAAAAATATAGACAAGATAATTCTAAAATGTACACATGCTCCTCAACTTACAATGAGATTACTTCCTGATAAAACCATTGTTTTCAATATATCAGAAGTTGAAAATACATTTAATACAACTAACCCACCAAATATAACAGCTTAGCTTGCTTTACCTTAAACTTACTCAGAACACTTACATTAACCTACAGTTCAGCAAAATAATCTAGCACAAAGCCTATTTTATAATAAAGTGTTGAATATGTCATGCAATTTATTTAATAGTACTGTGCTAAAAGTGAAAAACAGAACAGTGTGTGGACACTGCGTATGGTTTCTACTGAATGCATTTTGCTTTCATACCTTCATATAGTCAAAAAGTTTTAAGTAGAACTGTTGAATTTCAGGGACCATCTGTATACAGAAAGTCAAAGGAACTTGGATAACTAAAATAATTGGAAAAAAAAAGTCAGAGTTCCTATCAGATTTAAGACTTATTAAATAGTTATAGTGATCAAGACTATGTGCTGTTGGTGGTGGGATAGACACATAGATTGACAAAACAGAATATAGGACCCAGAAATAGAGCCATAAAAATAGGCTCAAATGATTTTTTATAAAGGTGGAGAAGCAAATCAATGGAGGAAAATTAGCCTTTCAGTCAGGAGACAATCCTCAGGATCTAGGACTAAGCAAAGAGGTCTCAGACTTGACACCAAAAGCACCATCCATAAAAGGAAAACTCATAAATTGGACTTCATCAAAATTTAAAACTTTTGCACTTCAGGGGAGTGATATCAGCAAGATGGTAGAATAAATGGTCCCTCACCTCATTATTCCACAGAAACATCAAGCTAACAATAATATACACACCAAAATACCTTTGTGAGACTACTTTTATGAGAAGTTGCAAGCATCCTAGATGAGCACAAAATGAAGAACAGCCACATTAAAACAAATAAGAAGAGCAATTACACTTTACCTATGTCAGCCTCTCCCCAAAGCCAGCACAGATCAATGCCAAGGGATATTGCCTCAACCCACACTTCTCTCATTAGGAGGGGAAGAGAAGTGGAATGACCATCCGGCATCCCAGTCTTTCAGTGAATTGTCCAAGGGGACAGTTTCTATCTTGCCCCACATGGAACATTGACAGTACTGCCATAGTTTGGACCCCTCGGTCAACTCAACAATGGAAAGGGCGTAAACAGATTGTTACAGGATAGCAGAGCTCTGTGAGATTGGGAGAAATTGCAGAACCTAGGCATCTCACCAAGAAGAGAGAAGAGTGGTGTATACCTCCAACCTCTTGGTCTTTCACTACATTGCCAGAAGAATGCCAGTCCCTGTTCCACTCAACCCAAAGGACTGACAGAATGAGTATAGTTTGATGGGGGCAGCTAAGAACAAAGGAAAAGAGGCAGTCAGCTTGCTATGTGAGAGGCTCTCCAAATCTCTAGCTGGGCTAATTGATGAAGGTCTTTAACTGTCAACACCACTCCATAAAAACTGGGAGAGATGGCTGTTTTTTCAAATGTGCAGACACCAAGGCAAAGCTACAAGAAACATAAAAAATCTGGGAAACATGACACAATCAAAGGAAAAAACAAATCTCCAGCAACCAACCCTACAGAAGTGGAGATCTTTTAGATGCCTGACAAAGAATTCAAAATACTTATCATAAAGAAGTTTAATGAGTTACGAGAGGAAACATATGAACAACCAAAGGAAATCAGGAAAGTAATACCTGAAAAATGAGATTCTCAGTAAAAAGATAGGAACTATACAAAGAACCAGACAAATTCTGCATCTGAGGAATCTAATTGCTGAAAGAAAAACAATCAATAGAAAGCTTCAAACACAGAATTGATCAAACCTAAGAAGGAATCAGTGAACTCAAAGACAAGTTATTTGAAATTATCCAGTTATAAGTGCAAAAGAAAAAAGAATGAAAGAGTTAAGAAAGCCTAAGGGACATATGAGACATCATCAAGACAACAAATATATACATTATGGTGATTCTAGAAGGAAAGCAGAGAGACAATAGGAAAAAAAGCTTATTTAAAGAAACAATCACTGAAAATTTCTCAAATTCCAGAAGGGAAATGAACACTCAGATTCATGAAGCTGAAAGCACCACAAATAGGATGAATATAAAGAAATCTAGACCAAGACACATTACAATCAAATTGCCAAAATACAGAGACAAAGAAATTGTCGAAGGCAGCAAGAGAAATGTGACACGTCACATACAAGGACACATCAATAATACCATCAGATTTCTCATAAGAAGCCTTACACACCAGAAGACAGTGGAATGACACATTCAAACAGCTGAAGAAAAATAAAACTGCCAATTCAACTGAGGTAGGTCCACACCACAGAATACTACTCTGCAATCTAAAGGAAGGATATTTGAGGAGTTTGGACAAAGGAATAGTAAGCATAGTAAGCAATATATAAATATTAGCTGTCTGTGGTCCTTTGCTGAGATTTCCCTTACTGGATGTCTGAACTAAAATTGATTTCAATGGTCTAATATAACTCCAACAAGGTATATTAGCTCCCTGTGGCTGCTGTAACAGGGGTTACGGAGGTTTGGACAAAGGAATAGTAAAGGGTTTGGACAAAGGAGTAGTAAGTTTTGATAAGAGAACTGAAAAGACTTGAAGGCTAGTCAATTTCTAGGAAAAATAAACCTTTTGGAGCATGATAGTGCACATCTGTGAGGGATCTTGAGATAATTCCTATCCGTAGGAATTCCTTCCTACCCATAACAGGAAGGATAATTCTACTACTTGTTATCTTCCAAGTGATAGCTAAAACCTACGGCCAACAGTCTTTTAGAAGTAGAATACCACATAACATCTGTTGTGAGTACACTTGCAACCGATCTAGGAGAAAGGGAAAAAGACCCGGGTATCTTTCTCAAAAAATGTCTTACCTCAATCTAGAAGATTGAAGATAAACACTAACTCCCTGAAAAAAAAGTTGAGCCTGTCACTCACACATGCTTAATATGAATGCTTTAATCAATTCATAATCAGATGGTACTTGCCCTACCTAATAGCAACTCCACTGTGAAAATGAGCACTGTGATTACGGAGATGAAGAGGTCATTTTTGCAACTGGAGACAACTTGGAGAAAGAAGAGCTCTAGGTATAGTTTTTCAATATGGACATTCCCTGTGGTATTGGATATCCCCAGGGAACACTGCCTCAGGAGAAGCAGTTAGAGAAGAATCCTAAAACAAATGTGGAAAAACAGAAAGATCATTTTGCCTGAAGTCTCTTGATGGTTGCCTTGCATGTTGAGAATGATCACACAAGGTGACTTTGGCTCATCCCTTCTAAGGTGGCGGATAAGGAGTAGTCAGTGATGCAGGATTTCATTTTGCTTTTCCCTGGCATCAATTTGCATTTTTCACCTGGCTCTCTGGAAACATGTTGCTTTAAACATTCCTTCCATTACTCAAATGGTAGAAATTTCCAACATGTTTCAGGACCATGAAAAATATGTAGGGACAGATGGTTCTTCGGTATCAATCAGACTGTGTTCATGTAGGCTTATTCTGTTTATGTGCCCTGGTGATGAATAGTCCTGGTAAGATGGCCTCTATCCTGATCGTGTGTGTGTGTGTGTGTGTGTGTGTGTGTGTGTGTGTGTGTGTATGTGTGTGTGTGTGTTACCGCCAGGCCAGTGAAGAATTTAAAGCTTACAGACATAAGGTAATGTGCCCAAGGCCACACAGCTACAAAGAGGCAGCAGAGATGGAATTTAAATGTGGGTCTTCTGCTTCAAAATAACTCACTTATTTCCAAGTGGAAAGGGAAATTGTGACCAACACACACAACTAGAAAAAAAAAAAAATCCCACATGTCGCTCAAGAAAACCCAGGTTTGGATTTCAGACATTTTAGTCCAAGGACCTAATTGCATCTACAGTGGTCATCTGTTGTATTTGCCACCCAATATTCATTCTCCCTTCTGATGGTACCTACACTGGTTCTTCAGAACAGACCTACCTCTTTCCACAGTCTTAGCCCATGTATTAAGAGGGGTCATCCTTTCCAAGGTCCTCGGCCAAACAGAACAGGAAGGGGTGCTATCACATTGGTTGTCTCAGGCATGAGTATTCAACCCAACAAATCTCGGTAAGGTTTTGCTTACATTTTTTTCTAGGACTGTTTATTTTCATGTGCCTTGAACCTGAGAGAATGTAGGTCTTAGTACAGTTGTCTTGCCAGTACCTAAGGACGGCCTTTCTGAAACTACAGCCAGCAAAAGTAGAGCCAAGAGCTGGAGAAAGAAACCAGGTCCTGATAGTATCTTTGGAACCACTGCATTGATCTGGACCTGAAGCTGGAATTTTCCAGTTATGAGAGTTAATAAATTAGGGTTTCACTTAAGCCTATTCAGATTGATTTTTCTATCACTTGGGACAGAAAACATGTCCTGATAATGTAGCATCACCCTGTTCTCTTTTAAAATAAGCATCAGACTTTTCCAAATGTAAACCCAAAATTAGCCAGGCGTAGTCATGCAGCCTGTAGTCCTAGCTACTCGGGAGGGTAAAGTAGGAAGATCTCTTGAGCCCAGGAGTTCAAGGCCAGCCTGGGCAATATAGTGAGATCATATCTCTAAAATGAAAACAAAATAAAAAACAGCCATCATTGGTGAGATTTTGGGTACACATTTTAGCACAAAATAGAGTTTCTCAAAAAATTGTTCTCTTTGGAGCAAAACCACCAGGAAGCCTTTCCTTGTTGGAGCTCTCTATATGCCAAAGGCCATTGGGCCAACCAGTCCTCTGAGCACTTGCTCCACTTCTGTGGGTCCTTGCCGAGAAGTAACTACAAACATTGACAATAAATAGTCACTTGTTTGTATATTTGGATGGTACCTGTTGTGTAAATAATGGTTTTAGACATATTAGAGAATGGGATGTGCAGGCCAAATGTGAAGTCCACTAAACACAGAATGAGTCAGTGATGCCTCCCATCCAAGCTTACTTTTTATTATGCCATCTTGTATAGTGGGTTGAATGGTAGACCCCAAAAAGATATCTCTATGTCCTAATTCCAGGAACTTATGAATAGTACCTTATGATAGCAAAAAAAAGTGAATATTATCTTCTATGGCAAAAGATGTGACTACATTAAGAATCCTTAGAAAAGCAGCTCATCCTGTATAATCCACGTGGGCCCTAGATGCAAACACATGGATTCTTATACAAGAAATACCAGGAGAAGAAAGACACACAGGGGAGGAAGTAATATGAAGATGAAGCAAAGAGAGATGTGACCGCAAGCCAAGGAATGCCAATAGCCACCAGAAGCTGAAAGAGGAAAGGAGCAGGTTTTCCTTCAGAGCTTCCAGAAGAAGTGTGGCCCTGCTGACACCTTGATTTCAGACTTCTGGCCTTCAGAATAGTAAGAGTAAGATTTATTTTGTTTTAAGCCACTTTGTGGTAATTTATTACAGCAGTCACAGGAAGTTAATATAACTTGTTGGAGTAATATTACACTATTGAGATCAATTTCAGTTCAGACATCCAGTAAGGGAAATGTCAGCAAAGGACGACAGACAACTAATATTTATATATTGCGTACTATGTTCCAGGCAATGTTCTAAGTACTTTGCCCATATTAACTCATTTAATCTTTATAACAACCCTAGGAGATAGGTATTATTATTCCCATTCTACAGAGAAGGAAACTGAGGCACAATGAGACTAAGTTAGCCCAAGGTCACATAATTATGAGATATCAGAGTTGGGATTCAAGTCCAGGTGGCACTGATTCCAGAGTATCTGCTCTCTAGCATTTTCCTCTATTGCAGTCACATGTCCACATCAGAGGATTACACCCCTGGTTGCACAAGCAAGTCACCTGAGTGGCTTTAGAAATATTAAAGGGGAGGAATCACCCTGAAGACAAATTAATCACAACCTTGGGCACATGACTTTGAGCAGAAGTCATTTTAAGGGTTCCCCCAGATGATTTTAATGTGCAGCCAGGTTAAAAGCCAATGACATAATGACTCCCAGTGGCAGATTTAACTAATTTGTTTAAATTTGCATTGCTTAGATGTTTTGGCTTTTCCAAGTCTATGTCTACACAGAGAAATTGGACCGCAAAACCTAGTAAAAGGCTTAACTCAGTAAAACCATAATTTTTTTTCTTGTAATGGTCTGGTTGATCAATTTTTTTCAAGGGTTATACCATAGGAAAAACTCAATGTGAAGGCTACCTAGTAATCAACAATTTGTTTTAATTTTGGTATTGAGGGAGTAGGAATGGAGAATGATAAAATGGAGATGGAGTAGGAATGGATGAGAAATGGAAATTCATCCACATCCCCAGAACCCATTCTGGCCAATTTCTGGTCAACTCTGGTCTGGATATCTGTGACCTAGAAATCTGGAGTACAGCACCCTGGGGGCTCTTGATTTTGCAATTGCCCTAGAGCAAACTCAAAGGCTGTTATTGCTTCTAAAATAGGACCAGCTTCCTTATATTCTCCTGAACAAAAAGGAACTCATCACGAAAGCAGCCTCCTAGAGCCTGCTCCAGGCCTGACACAGGTCAGTGCTGCCTGACCTTCTGATGCAGAGTCTCAGGTTGAACAATCCTCTGATAGGACTAGTGCTATCTCACTTTCAGATCGGCACTATGAAGCACTTTAGAAACTAGGCTCTATAGAGTCCAAATCTGCCGATAATACCAATGGATTTTAAAGCTTTTTAGCCATGGAGCATTTTCTTCAATGGAAATCTTACTTGGAAGGCCAGCAAACATAAAAATCGGGGGGAGTTTCTATACTTGAAGAGAATCTGAACCCCTACTTGGCCAGACCTTTAGTGTAGGAAAATACAAAGAGCCTTTGCCAAGAGAGGGCCAAGTAAACATCAAGAACTACTCTGACATTGTAAATAATTCTAGTAACAGGAGACCTATTTGGTTATCCCTTGACCTGTCCTGCTCTGAAGTATGCCTGGTGTTAATTTCCTAGGCTGCCATAACAAATTGCCGCAGACTGGATAGCTTAAAACAATAGAAATGTATTGTCTCACAGTTCTGAAGGCTGGAAGTATGAGATCAAGGGGTTGGCAGAGCCATGCTTCCTCTAAAGGCTCTAGGGAGGAGTCCTTACTTGAGTGTTCCTAGCTTCTGGCAATGGTTTGCAGTCCTTGGCATTCCTTGGCTTGTCATTGCATCACTCCAATGTTTGCCTCTGTCTTCAGATGGCCATCGTCCCGGTGTTTCCCTGTGTTTGTGTCTGTTTCTCTCCTCTTATGAGGACACTAGTCACATTGGATTTAGAACCTACCTAATCCAGTATGACCTCATCTTAACTACAGTCATGCATCATAATGACATTTCGGTCAATGGCACACTAAATATATGATTATAGTCTCATTAGATTATTGTACCCCAATTGCCTACAGTAGTCAGTACAGTAACAGGCTGTAGAGGTTTGCAGCCTAGGAACAATAGGATATAGTATATGGTCTAGGTGTGTAGGAGACTGTACCGTCTAGGTTTGTGTGAGTACACTCTATGATGTTTGGACAATGATGAAATCACCTAACAACACATTACTCAGAATGTAACCACAATGTTAAGCAATGCATGACATCGCAAAGACCCTATTTCCAAATAAGGTCATAGTCTAAGGTTCTAGAGAAAACATGAATTTAGGAGAGACATGCTTCAACCCAGTACACAGCTCCAGTTCTACCTCTGAACTTGTTTATATGGCTGGGCCCCACCACCATGGCCAGATCTCCCCCAGCAGCTACCCTGACACCAGATGCCAGTGGCGTGGCTTTTTGGCTTCCATCAGCTTTTATTGCCTAAATGTTTGAGCTCCCAGACTGTGTGATCTCCAGGCTGCAAATGTTGCCACTTTGGCTTGACCTGCTGCCGAGTCCAGAATGGAATGTTTTCTTGCAAGTTTTCCTTTCCAGATTTCAATCAAGAAAAAAATGAGTAAGCTGTCTGCAGAAAATCCTATGGTATCTTTCCAGACAAAGAAAGACTTCCCTGGAAACCACTCTTTGACTTATTCAATATCCCTTTTTTTCTTAATTATGGCTAATATAAATTGTTTTTTAGAAAGTGTTTCTTACTAAGTGATACCATATTTTAACTGAGCCGTGCTAGAACCTACTATTCTTTAAAAAACCTCTTTATTCTTTGAATATTTTAACATACATTTGCATAAAACAAAAAATGTTGATTTGTATTTCAATTTTATTTTAGTTCTTCCCAAATTGCTCTTAAAAAAAGAAAAAGAAAAGATTTAAGGCCATAAACATAGATGTATAAAGTGCTGTAAGATGGCCTAAAATTTAAAGAAAAAGGAGGCAAATGAAAATAAAGATATGAAAGTAAGGTGAATTGACTAATGAAGTTAGCACCTAGACTCTATGTCAACAAGTCAGGTATGTTTGTCTACTGAATAGGACAAAAATTTATCTATGAACTTTCTAGTAACCAATACATCAGTGCCCATAAGTAAAAGTAAACAAACCCACACACACACACACACACACACACACACACACACACACACACAAAGCCATACAACACACCCCAACCACCAAAGTAAGCTCTGAAGAGTAATCTCAAAGTTTCCTCCAGGAACTGTTAAGATTTAAGTAGAACAGAGTGGTTTGTGAAGGTACCTATAGAACTTTATCATCACTTTTTAAAAAATTGTACGTTCCCACAATATCTATGTACATACCAATCCCCCCCCCCCCCTTTTTTTAAAAAGTCATTGACCATTGGGAATCAAGTATTTTAGGTAGGTGAGAGGACAGGTGCTCCAGGATATTCTAAGACATGTGATTAATATATATGAACTCTTTCTGAAGTCCTGGCCCTATATCCTCTAATGGGACATTCCATTCTTCTTTCCATCTTGTTGCTACTGCTATTTAGAAATCTGTCAAGCAAGCATTGCCTTTGATGTAAGCATCTAGATAGACTGTGGGGATGGGGAGAGAGTTCTGACCAATGAACCTGAAACCAAGATGTCTAAGGGTGTCTAGAGCTCCCATCTCCTGTCCATCTTCCCCTGATTTTCCCTCTATATCTCACAGTTCCCTGAACTTCTCCAGCACTTTTTGTATTTCTGTTTAACTATCCTAGGCAATAGCACTGATTCTTAATAAGCCCTTGTTATTTGAGAACCGGCACCTGATTTCAGGCTCCTGGCCTTTGGGTGTAACTTGTTCAATGCTTTGCCCAATATAGGCCCCTGAAAAACCTGCATCAGCACTCTCTCTTCTTTTTCCACCTTTTTTGCTGCGCTTCCTTTCTCCTTTCCCAGCTTTTCTTCTTTTTACTGTTGTATCTCCTTTAAACCTCTTTCCCCATTTCCTTTTACTCCCCTTTCCCTGTTCCTTTTATGCACCTGCTCTTTTTCTTCATACCCTTGCCCTCTGAGTAGCTGCTCTATAATCCTATAGCCCTACAGAGCTTGTCACACATTACTTCAAGACTTTGTTACTCGGTGTCTCCACAAGAATGGCCTGCAGGAAGACAAGCAAAATAAACTGGATACCAAGTTTAGGAAGAAGATCAGAAGCTAGTCTCCTAAGGGCTGTTGCAGAGAAAGGCAGCAACTCATCTAGTTTTTTGGATGGGTGCCCTCCCTAAAATATTGCTCAAAGTTCCCAGAATATCATTTTATAAATTCTAGAATCAAACCTTCTATATACCTATCCCAACCCTAGAAAAGCAATAGAGAAATGCCTCCCTGGGGAAAGCAAAGTGATTCCCTCCACATCTAATCCCTTTTTCTAAAATGAAGACTCAGCACCTTTCCAAGAGCTCAATAATAATGCAATGAGATTTGTAAAAGAGCACACCTGACTCCTCTCCAAGTGTGCCCTAACTGGGGAAACACACGGCCTCCAGTATTTACAGTGTGGATTAGCCCAGTTTTCAGGCTCCAAGACTCTATTAGCACAGCAATATTAACCTAATTACTTTCTCTAGTAAGACAAATATTAAGGCCTCCTAGACATATAATGATATTTTCCCCAAAGAGCAATGACTCAAGACTTCTTCCCATCTTACTCTGCCATGCTGGAAGACAGGGCAGCCACATCCCATTGTCAACCCCATGCAAATGTTATCTGGTTTTAACTATCTAATGGTCCTAATCTGGCAGATCCATTTAAATCATGCAAAATCTTTGAGATGATTAGCTTGTGAATATCTAAAATACAGCAGAAAACCTTTAAGTTCCCTGCTTATGTTTTTAAGTATTTATGGCATGTCCTGGTAATACTGGGAGACCTTGGAACTGTCCACTCAGTATCTTTCTTCCTGCCTCTACATTAAAATAGATGTTCAATCCAAACATCTAATGAATTACCAAGGTTTTAAAAAACTTTGAGGATTCCCCAGAATGATAGAAAGAATAATGATCATTGGAGTGAAACCTCCCATAGGCATGCTACTGACCACTGGCTCCATTTTAAAAAAATTTTTAATACCCCAGAAGATCAAAATCAAAGAGAATCAGATCAACTTCATGGCCTGAGTAACTAAATCAACTTATTTGAATAACTAGTTTACCGTTTTCTATAAATTGATCAACTTGAGGTGGATTTTGGCATCATGAAACAACAGTTGCTCAGCCACTCATGCTAACTGATTATTACAAAATCAAGAAAATACAAATATTGACATGGGATGGTTTTCAGCTTGAAGTAAAAAGCTCAGCAAGCCTATGAAGAGCAGCTAAGGACATAACAGGCACTTTCACTGTTGGATAAATACATGCCATTTCTCTGAGCTATAATTTTGTCTCCTTTATTTCTCAATGTTTGCAAAAAGAAAATTGTGGTTTTCTAAGTTCAGTTGTTTAGCTTCTTAGTGCAGCCCAGGTTTACAGGTCTTTTTTTTCCTTTTTAAAAAATTTTTATGTTTAATATTTGTGGGTATATAGTGTATATGTTTATGTGGTACATGAGATATTTTGATACAAGGATGCAATGTGTAATAATCACATTAGGGTAAAATGGGGTATCCACCACCTCAAATATTGATCCTTACTGTTACAAACAATCCAATTATACTATTTTAGTTATCTTTAAATGAGTAATAAATTATTATTGACTGTAGTCAGTCTGTATCAAATACTAGAACTTATTCATTCAATCTAATCATATTAATGTACCCATTAACAATCCCAAGTCTTCTGATGTTATTTGGAAGCAAACAGCTCTGTACAGTTTTGCAGCAATGAGGCCTAGATATTGCCATAAATTTGAGAACTTTTAAAAAGTTTCCACCTACATTTAAATATTGTCCTGATACAAAGATGGGAACAATACACACCAGGGATTCCAAAAGGGAAAAGGAGGGAGAGGGGCAAGGGTTGAAAAACTACCTATTGGGTACTATGTTCACCACTTGCGTGATGGGATCATTAGAAGCTCAAACCTCAGCATCACACAATATACCCATGTAACAAACCTGCACATGTACCCCCTGAATTAAATTTTTAAAACAAATAAATAAATGTCCAGGGATTCAGTAGCCCTGATCAAAGGCAACATTCAAAGATTGATCTACCTCAGCATATCTCCCTCCTACATCTACCTCCATTCCATTGTTCATTTGGACCAAACAAAAAAAGAACAAAAGCACAATCTGAGGTTTCTGCAACATAATTTTCCATGTGAAAGTTTCAAACCAATCATTCATAACCATCTGTTGGTATCTCCCACTCTTTATCTCCTACTCTATAGTCCTACAGCCACCTTCCCAGCTGCAGCTACATGGAGCCACAGGACTCATGTAAAGGAAGTCATCATTCTGCTATCCCACTTAGTCTTCTAAGTAAAATACGTCCCAAAGCATTACACGTCAAGCCTGAAGATGGAAAGTTTGGGGAAAAAAACATGACATTGAGTACAAGTAGAGGTCACTAAAACCAACAAATCAACCAGTATTGCAGATTATCCAATTAGCAAAGATAAATACTAAAACCCATTGGAGACACTTCTGCTTCCAGTCAAGGAGGAATAACAGGAATTGGATTTATCCTCCAGGCTAGAAAAAAAAAAGGTAAGTTATATGAAATAATTATTTACAAAACACTGGATATTAGGCAATGAAAAACAGTGAGTGGCAAGAAAAAAATGACTCACACCACCTCATAACTGACCCAGCTTCCTGGTTTGAGAAAACTTCCAGGCTGAGGTACAGGGAAGGGGATCCCAGGGAGAAGCTAAAAGACTTCCTGAGTTGAGAAAACAAAATTGAGATTTCAAGAAATCAAGACATCTAGAATTTTCAAGACAGAGTGCTGAAAAGGACAGAGACACACGGAGACCTGCAGAGAATTTTCCTCAAGTATTAGCAGAGTGTTAATTCATGCATTTGTGTGAGGAAAGAATCACCCAAAAGAATTAAAGGGAACAGTATCCAGTGATCACACATGGCCACAAATAGAGCCTGTACCCATAAGCCAGATAGAAAAGCTCATATAAGACATTGGGTAGAATACTCAAAAAGGCTTTACCTCAGAGGAAATTATTAATTAGCCCTAGCATTAACACTCTTCTGGAACCACTGAACAAATCAGATCAAAGCCTGAAATGATCAAATTGTTTCCAAGTAACTTAACTTCATCCCAGAACAAAGCTCAAGAATATTTATAGAAACACAAAAATATCCAACACCCAATGAGGTACAATTTTCTGACCCTCCAATCAAAGATTACCAGGCATGCAAAAAGGGAGGAAAACACTGCTTATTATAGGAAAAATAATTAATCAGTCAAAACTGACACCGAAATGACACAGATATTAGGTTAGCAATGATATTAAAACAGCTGTTATAACTGCATTCCATGTGTTCACAAAATTAAGTAGGGACATGGAAGAGAGAAAAAAAGACCGAAATCCAAAATTCTAGAGATGGAAACTACAATCCCTGAGATAAAAATACCAGAGATGGGATTAGCAACAGATAAGACATTGTAGAAGAAAAGATTATGAACTTGAAGAATAGCAATAGAAATTACCCAAAAGAAGCACACAGAAAAAAAAAAGAATCCACAAAAATGAAAAGAGCATCAGTGAGTTGTAGGACAGTTTAATATACATGTAGGTCTCATAGATATTTTCCTCAGCAAAAGAAAGGAGAAGTAGGGAGGGAATGAAGAATAGTGTATGAAAATCGTCCAATTTTGATGAAAGACTCAAGCTCATGGATTCAAGTTTAAGGAAGCCCAGAATAAGAAATATAAATACACCAAGGAATATAGTAACCCAACATCTCAAATCCAGTGATAACATGAAAATATTAAAAGTAGGCAAAGATAAGAAGATACGTTAAGTACAGAGGACAAGGATAAGGGCAAGAACAGATTTCTTGTTGGAAATAATGCAAACAAGACGACAGTGAAACATCTTTAAAGTAATGAAAGAAAGCAGCTGTCAATCTGGATTGCTATATCCTAGAATTTTCTATCTTCGAAAACAAGAAATAAAAACACTTTCAGAAATATAAATTCTGATTTCAGGTAAAAGGAAAAAATGATACCACATAGAAATATAAATCAACCCTCAAAAATGAAAAGCATCAAATATGGCAACCACATAAGCAAATATATAACTTTTTTATTATCTTATTTAAAACTGTTTAAAAGATAATTGACGATTTAAACAAAAATAATAGTAATAAGTTGAGGCTTTTATAGCACATATGTAAGTAAAACAACAACAATAACATAAGGGCAAGAGAGAAGAAATGGAAGTACATTATTTCAGATTTTTATACCATACTTGAAGTGGTATAATATCACCTTAAGGAAGACTGATAAATTTAAGATACATGCAATAAACCTTTAAGCAAATTAACAAAAGAGTTATAATGAATAAACTGACAATATAAATTGAAATAAAATAATACTAAATCCAAAAGATGGAATATAAATAGGAAATAGGAACAAATAACAGAGACACAAATGGAAACAAATAGCAAGATGATAGACATAATTCAAACTGTATAAATAATCTCATTAAATATAAACATTCTAATATCCCAGTTAAAAATCAGAGATTGTCAGAATGGCAGGGGCAGGGGGAAAGAAAAATTGAACAGTATGCCACCTTTGAGACACACACATTAAATCTAAAGACAGAAACAGATTAAAAGTAAAATGTTGGAATAAACATGGTAGATACATATACCATGTTAACCCTAGTAAAAAGAAATCTGTAGTGGCTAAGTTAATATAAGACAAAAGTAGATTTCAAAGCAAGATATTACCAAGAATAAAGAAGATTGTTTCATCACGATAAAAGCATCAATTCATCAAGAGGACATACCAGTTCTGTCTCTATGCATGTAATAATAGACCTTCAAAATACATGAAGCAAAAACTGATAGAGCTGTAAGAAAAAAAAGCAAGTCTACAATTTTGATCAGATATCTCAATACTCTTCTCTCAATAACTGGTAGAATAGGTAGAGAGAAAATCATCAGGATATAGAAATTTGAAGCACACTAACAATCAAAATAACCTATGGACAATTTTAGAACACTCCTCTTCTTGGCAGTATACACATTCTTTTCATGTTTACACAGAACAATTATTACGATTGATAGACCCAATTCTGGGCCATAAAACAAGTTTTAAATTCAGTAAGTTTAAAAGGATGTATGTCATACAAAGTATGCTCTCTATCCACAGTGGAATTAAATTAGAAATGAATACAGAACATGTCTGGAAAATTCCTAAACATTTGGAAACTAAATAACACCCTTCTAAATAACCCATAGATATGAGAATAAATCAAAGGAGAAATTAAAATACATGAAATAAATTAAAATGGTAACAACATGTCGGAATTTGTGAGGTGCCACAAAACAATATGTAGGATGAAATTCAAAGCAATAAATGCTCATATTAGAAGAAAGAGAAAGTCTCCATTTATAACCTTGGCTTCCACCTTAATAAAAATAGAAAAAGGAGAGCAAATAAAATTCAAAGTAAGCATAAGAAAAAACATAATAAAGATCAAAACAGAAAACAATTAAATGTAAAACAAAATCAATAGTGAAACTCAATGAAATAAAAATCTAGTTCTGAGATGATCAATACAATTTCTAAAGCTCTAGTCAAAAAGATCTGGAAAAAAAGTGGAAAATATAAATTACCATGATTAAGGATGAAAGAGATGAGATCCTCTCAGATTCAAAATATTAAAAGGATAATAGTTTGGACTTTGCCAAGTGCTACTTTGCCAGGTAACATGATTGCATGTTAAGGGATCATCAACATCTTGATACAAAGGAGAAATAGAAAGATGACAATTTCATAAGTGGGTTGTGTCATAGCAGCTCAGTGGGGGAGATCTCACACACGAAGTGTGACTTTTAAAATCCCTCAGAACAGTAACTACTTATGGGGTGTCATATCTCTGCTGAGATTTAATTGCATGGTCAGTTTGTAAAATACATCTTAAAATTTTGTAATACAGTATTATTTCTTCTATAAGGTATAATAGGAGTTAAATAATTAAATACTTTAATAATACTAAAAGGAAAAAATACAAACCTAAATTATCAGCTATTTACATCACTTTATATTCCAATCATGGTCAATTTTCATTTGTACATGTCAACATGGATTAAATCAGAGTGTACTCTTTATGTGCTACTTTTTAACTAAATGGCTCCATATATTTATTTCCATACACAGATATAGTCCATGCAACTAATATTTTTGAAATATATATGGTAATTTAATCATATTGATTACAATCAATCCCCAATTGTAGAGCATTTAGGTAACTTCCAGTGTTTCACAGTTGTGAATAGTAACACTATAACTTTGTGTAGACTGATTTCTTCCTTTTGGATTATTTCCCTTGAGTAGAATTCCTGGCCCTCCTCTACTCACACCTCAAAAAAGTGAAACAGCTTATCAGCACTTGTTGAACATTTCCAGATGAACTTCACAGAAACTTTGAACAATTCTCAGTGACACAGGGCCACATATACATATAATTTTTTCACAGGCCTACCTAGTTTTCTTATTTTTATTGAAGTAAATTACTATTCAGTCAACTGAACCTATTTAAAGGGTGCAATTTGGTGTGTGTGTGTGTGTGTGTGTGTATATATATATATATATCTACCAGTGCAGTTTGGTAGATATATTTCATGTCACATGAAGCCATGTGACATAAAAATAATGAACACATCCATCACAACAAAAGGTTCTTCATACCCTTTGTAGTTCTACCTTCTTGTCCCTCTTGTGTCCTCAGGAAACCACTGATGTACTTTGTGTCACCATAGATTAGTTTAAATTTCATAGAATTTTATATAAACATAATCATAAAGCATGTACTCCTAGTTTTTGGCTTGTACAAATAAAGCTACTACAAACATTTGTATACAAGTCTTTGTGTCACGAGATCCTTGGGGTGTCACTTCACCAGCTGGAAACCTCTGTGGCCAGTAGTGCCTTCTGCCTGAGTATTGCTCATGCCCACTGAGCTCAATCTGTCCACTCAGCCTGGCAGGCTGCACTTGGCTCATGCTACAGGCCTGGATCCCACACCTGCCAAGGGTGAGCCAGGCACAGAATGATGAGGGGTGTGTGTGTGAGTGAGCGCAGGGTCCAGCCACTGTGCACAGCCAGGCACACTGGTTGCTGGGCAAGGCAAGCAGCTCCAGATGACAGCATAAGTGCCGGCTCCATGTGAGGCTATGGTTGGACCAGATGTACCCCAAGTGGCTTCCACTGTGGGCACCCACATCTGGATGAAGGGAACATGGTGGTGCCTGGAAGCTTGGAGATGCCAGGAACCACAAAGCCCCAAAGAGGGTGTCATAGCCCTGGCTCAGGGCTCCCCTAGTTCTGGGCTCCCCGAAGGGTCCCAGCTCTTCTCTCCTTCTTGTTGCCTGCAATGTGACAAGCAGGGGGGCATGTTTCAGACCTGTTTGTGTTACAGCTCTTTCAGTCCCCGCATTCAGCAGGTCCTGATTTCTTGTCCCGTGTCCGGGAACAATGAGGTACGCAAACAACTGGAGGATGAGCAAGGCAGAGAGGAGCTTCAGTGAGTGACAGAGAGGCTCTCGGGAGACCCAAAGTGGGCAGTTCCTTCCCACAGCTGGTAGTCCTGATGTCTGCCCAAGTCTGGATGAGTCCAGAGTTTTTATAGCCTCAGAAGGAAGGGCGTGCTGATTGGTCCATGGGCCACCATGAGCAGGTTCAGAAAAAGCACCATAAATTGTCACTCTGGGCCACTGACTCCATCCAGAATTGACAGCCCAGCACCCAGGCTTCAGGCCATCCCTGGCTTGAAGGTGGGGTTTCACCCGAGACCTGCCCCTTTCCACCCAGGAGCCTGTCTGCCTCCTGCCACCATCCACATGCCATCCATGGTGCCCAGGCTGTTAGTGCCAAGGGGTGCTTGCAAGCCTGCACTAAGCCACCCTCAGCCCCCACTTGCCCCTCCTCCCATGCTCATCAGCACCCAAAGTCTGGAGGGGGCCAAGGCGGCAGGGGGCTGGTGTGTCAATGCCGCCCTGAGCTTGCACATGCCAGGCCGAGCAACAGCACCTTGGCTCAGCCACAACTTTGTTCCACCCCAGAGCAGGTGCCTAGAGTGGGAAGAGGCCAAGGAGCGGGAGCAGGTACTTCCAAGCCTTCAGGGGCAGGGGCGCTTCCCAGGCCCCTGAGAGCACAGGGAAGCCCGGGTCCAGAGCCATGGCTGGGTGGCTGCAGCTGCGCCAAGGAGCACTGGCCTTCTGCCCCACCAACTTGGTAGGGGATGGGGCTCATGCCTGTTCCTGGCCGTGCCAGCTCTGTGGAGTGCGCAGCCCCAGCCATGCCTCTAACACTGCAGCCACTCCAGTCAGGCTGCTGCTACCACCATTTGTATGAACACATGCTTTTATTTTTCTTAGAAAAATAACCAGAAATGCAATGGCTACATTATATGATAGGTATATGTTTCACTTTTTAAGAAACTATCAAACCATTTTCCAAAGTGGTTGTCATTTAAATTCCCATCAAAGGTATGAGAGTTCCAGCTCTTCCACATCCTCACAAACACTTGGTATGGTCAGTATTTTTTATTTGAGCCATTCTATCAGACACATAGTGATACCCCATTGTGGTTTAATTTGCATTTCCCTAATCACTAATAATGAGCATCCTTTCATGTTCTTGTTTGCCAATCATACGTTTTCTTTGGCAAAGTATCTGTTCATATAATTCTCCTATTTTTAAAGTTAAGGTGCAAAGGCAGTTCATTGGACAAAAAGTAGTATTTTCAACAAATGGTACTAAAACAATTGACTGTCCACATGCAAAAAACAAAAAACAAAAAAAAAAAAACACAACAAAAAAACTTTGATTCAAACTTGGAAACCTACTTTAAAAATTAATTCAAAATGTGTCATAGACCTGAAATTAAAACCTAAAACTACAAATCTTGTAGAAGGAAATATAAGAGAAAATCACTGTGACCTTAGATTAGGCAAAAATTTTTTAGATATCACATCAAAAGCCAAAGAAAAATGGAAAAATTAGACTTCATCAAAATTAAACATTTCTGTTTTTCAAAAGACAGTTAAGACAAATTACACCAGATGTGTAAAGAAGAGCTGGTACCACTCCTACTTAAACTACTCCAAAAAATTGAGGAAGAGGGACTCCTCCCCAACTCATTCTATGAGGCCAGAATCATCCTCATACCAAAACCTCACAGAGACACAACAGAAAAAGAAAACTTCAGGCCAATATCCCTGATGAACATCAGGGCAAAAATCCCTAACAAAACACTGGCAAACTTAATCTGGTAGGACATCAAAAAGCTAATCCACCAGGATCAAGCAGGCTTTATCCCTGGGATACAAGGTTGAGTCAACATATGCAAATCAGTAAATGTGATTTACATAAGCAGAACTAAAAACAAAAACTACATGATTATCTTAATAGATTCAGAAAAGGCTTTCAATACAACTAAACACCTCATCATGTTAAAAACCCTCAACAAATGAGGCATTAAAGAAACATAATTCAAAATAACAAGAGCCATCAATGACAAACCCACAGCTAACATCATACTGAATAGGCAAAAGCTGGAAGCATTCCCCTTGAAAACTAGAACAAGATAAGGATACCCTCTCTCACCACTCCTTTTCAACATAGTACTGGAAATCCTGGCCAGAGCAATCAGGTAAGAGAAAGAAATAAAAGGCATACAAATAGGAAGAGAAGAGGTTAAACTATTCCTGTTTGCAGATGATGTGATTCTATACCTGGAACACCCCATAGTCTCTTCCCAAAAGCTTCTTGGTCTGATAAACAACTTCAGTAAAGTTTCAGGATACAAAATCAATGTACAAAAATTACTAGCATTCCTATACACCAACAACATCCAAACTGACAGCCAAATCAAGAATGCAATCCCATTCATGATTGCAGCAAAGAGAATAAAATACCTAGGAATACAACTAACCAGAGAGGTAAAAGATCTCTACAATGAGAATGACAAAACACTGCTGAAAGAAATCAGAGATGACACAAACAGAAAAACATTCCATGCTCATGGATAGAAAGAATCAATATTGTTAAAATGGCCATACTGCCAAAGCGATTTACAGATTAAATGCTATTCCTATCAAACTACTGATGACATTCTTCACAGAATTAGAAAAAAACTATTTTAAAATTCATATGGAATCAAAAAAGAGCTGGGATAACCAGGCAATCCTAAGAAAAAAGAACAAAGCTGGAGGCACCACATTACCTGACTTCAAACTACACTACAAGGCTACAGTAACCAAAACAGCGTGGCACTGGTACAAAAACAGACATATAGACCAATGGAACAGGATAGAGTGCCCAGAAACAATGCTGCATACCTACAACCATCTGATATTTAATACAGTTGACAAAAGCAAGTAACAGGGAAAGGACTCCCTATTCAAAATGGAGCTGGGATAACTGACTAGCCATATGCAGAAAATTGGAACTGGACCACTACCTTACACCACATACAAAAATCAACTCAAGATGAATTAAAGACTTAAATGCAAAACCTAAAACCATAAACACCCTAGAAGAAAACCTAGAAAATGCCATTCTGGACATAGGATCTGGCAAAGACCTCATGACAAAGACACCAAAAGCAATTGCAACGTAACCAAAAATTGACAAATAGGACCTAATTAAACTAAAGAGCTTCTGCACAGGAAAAAAAACTATCAAGAGAGTAAACATGCAACTTACAGAATGGGAAAAAATATCTGCAAACTGTGCATCTGACAAAGGTCTAATATCCAGCATCTATAAGGAATTTAAACTAATTTACAAGCAAAAACCAAACAATTCAATTAAAAGTGGGCAAAGGACATCAACAGATACTTTTCAAAACAAGATATATGTGGCCAACAAGGATATGAAAAAATGCTCGGCATCACTAATCATTAGAGAAATGCAAATCAAAACCACCATAAAATATCATCTCACATCAATCAGAATAGCTACTATTAAAAAGTCAAAAATAATAAATGCTGGCAAGGTTATGGAGAAAAGGGAACGCCTATACACTGCTAGGAGGAATTTCTCAAATAATTTAAAACAGAATCACCATTGAACTCAGCAATCCCATTATTGGGTATATCCCCAAAGGAATATATATTGTTCTACCATAAAGACACATGCATGTGCATGCTCATTGCAGCACGTATTCACAACAGTCAAGACATGAACTCAACCTAAATATCCATCAATGGTGGACTGGATAAAGAAAATGTGGCATATATACACCATGGAATATTATGCAGCCATGAAAAATAATGAGATCATGTCCTTTGCAGGCCATTATCCTCAGCTAACTAACATAGAAACTGAAAACCAACTGCATATCCTCACTTATAAATGGGAGCTAAACACCAAGTACATATGGATACTAAGAGAACAACAGCACTGGGGTCTACTTGAGGGTGGAGGATGGAAGGAGGGTGATGATTGAAAAAATACCTATCGGGTAGTATGCTTATTACTGGGGTGATGAAATAATCTGTACACCAAACCCCTGAGACATGTAGTTTACCTGTATAACAGAACTGCATATGTAAACTTGAACCTAAAAATAATTTTTTTAAAACAAAAGACAGTTAAGAGAATAAAAGAGACAAGTCACAAACTGAGAGAAAATATTTGCTAAGTTTATACCTGGCAAAATACTTCTATCCAGAATACATAAACAACTTTTAAAACTCAATAATAAGAAAACAAACAACCCAATACACTAGAACTTAGATTTGTTTATCACATGAGTAACTTTTGGCAAGTAAAGGGCATTGACTGACAGCATGAGACACAGAGTTAAGTTTTAAAAGATAGAAGTAAGATCATGTACTGCTGATACAAGAGGGCAGGCAGAGAGGCAAGAGAGAACCAGAGTCTATACATGAAAAAAGATCTTGGGATGTTTCGTGGTTAGAAAGAAAAAATATCAAAACCAAATTACCCTGTTTTCTTCACAGTAACTTCTAGGATCAGCCTTAACAATATGGAGCAAATATTAAAAAAAAGAAATTGAAAGAGGCCCAGAGCCTAATTTAAGACTTGGGTAGTAGGACTGGATAATATGGCATAGTTACAGAAGATGTTTGGAATCTAAAAGTAGAGAGATACTCCAAGACTGAGTATACAAAGTATAAGGCAAATTTAAGTCACAGATCACCAAATGGGCCCCTTTTCCCAACAGACATCATGTCCCCACCCAGAAATCTGGGAACAGGCCATTCTTCAAGGACCAGGTCAAGTCTCCCATCTTCACTCCCACTCACTCCATCAATGCTCTGCACTGCAATCACTTGTAAAATAGCACTAATAACAGGGATTGCCTCAAGGACAAAATGAGATAGCCAATGCAAAGAACATAATATAATGCCTGGAACACCCAGAGCGCAATAAATATTGGTTTCCCTTCTCTCCCTTCTATAACCAAATGGAAGACAAATTGCACTGTTGGCCCTAGTTCAGGGGTTTTTAAAATTTAGAGCTCCTATGTTGAGCTGAGTCTCGTTAAAGGCTCCTGGGTTGAGCACAGAAACTTTTAAAACAACTTGAGTCCAGACTTTGATGTCCCCATTGCCATACATGGCAGGGAGTCAACAGCAGAACGGGAAGTACCCCAAGTTGCAGAAACAAGTTGCCAGGCTGTGGCAAAATTCAATAAGTAGACAACGTTTGTATTCCATCTAGTAACAAAAAATATTTATGCTCCCCCTACAGCTGGCTGAGGGCCCTTCATTAGAGCATCACTGCAAGCCCTTCCACTGTCCCTCACCCATTCCTCCTCAGGCAAGGAAATGTGAATTACCTGATGGGTCAATCTGGGAGCAGGACCTGCCAAAGGATGCGTACAGCTCAGCCCTTCTGCTGTCTTTTCAGAACAGGTACCACTGTGAGAGGCCTGTGGTTGCCCAGCCATGATCATAGCTAATTATTTCTGAGGTACTGTGTTATAAGGCCCATATAATCCAAAAATCTAAGCCACATTCCCCCAAACCAGCTTTACCAGTAATAAAAGGTGGTAATATGTCTCTAGTTACCTAATTCCTGGATCTCTCAGTTAGTTCTGAACTTGAATGGAGAAGAAGGGTGCCATTTTGAGGCCCCCTCAACACCTATCCACCTATCTATCTGCCCCCTGTCCCATGCACAATCAAACATAGACAGGCACTAGGGCCCTCTCAGATGAATGTTCAGTGGCCTGGCGGGGGCCCGTGCTAACCAGGCTTCTTTCCCCCTCAGTTTACATTTTCCCACCTGCCTGATATTGTCAGACTGACGTTGCTGCCACCCAAGTTTCACACCAGAAAGAGTGAGAAGCACACAATGAAGGTTCTTTCCTGCCTTCTTCCTAGAGGGCAAGCACTAGGTATTGTACTCCTATGACTCCCATGAGACCTAGCATAGTTCTGAGCCTATAGAACTCTGATAAAGATCAGGAGACCAGGCTTCAAGCTCCACTCTGCCCTTTCTTGCCATGTAACTTGGTACATGTCACTTTGCCAGTCTGAATCCTTGAATTCCCATCGTAATTCTTTATTTTGTTTGTTCTTTTTAAGTGACATTAAATTAGATTTTAAATGGACAAAAAGTTGGTCCTTTCTTCAGTGTGGTAAAAGTGAAGTGGTCACGATCTCCAAAGCTGGTTTATATTTTTGGCAAACATAGCTATATATTTTTCAGATGTGCTTATGATGTCATTCCATTTAGAATGAAAACTCCAAGACTCCTACTATTTTCCCATAAAAGTTCAAATAAAAACTTAGAACCCAAGAATTCTCAGAAAACAATATTTACTGCCAAGTCCCCACTTACATGTAGCAGAAATTTTCTAAGATATGCCCGCTGCTTTGCTATAGAATTTAACCAAATTTTATTATAGAATTACCAGGGCACTGAATGTAAAGCCACGCCATTCATAGTTTTCTTTAGAAGGGATTGGTAAACTATGGCCCATAGGCCAAATATGGCCCACTGCTTGTTTTTGTAAATAAAGCTTTATTGGAATACAACCACATTCATCTGTTTACATAATGTCTGTAGCTGCTTTCCCGCTATAACAGTAGGGGTGAGTTGCTGCAATAGAGATCATGACCTGGCTTTTTACAGAAAAAGTTTGCTGACTCTCATTCTAAAAAAATCCTTCAATTAATCTTAATTTATTTAAATTATGATTCAGGAACATCCTTAACACATGATTAAGTGATCACAGGAATGTTGCTTTTCTTGCTTGGGCTTTTTTTTTCTTAATCTCTAAGAGGAGAGATTTGTCTATTGTTTCCAAAGTAGCCATTAATTCTCATTCTGATTCTCAGCAGATGAGTAGTTTCCTTAGCAAGGTCTGATTACTTCTGAATAGTTGAGACATCTGCACCTCTCGTGAAATAAGAGAAGCATTGGCAGGGGCTCATGAGAAGACTCAAGTTCCAACTCTTTGATTTCCCCCTAACTGACCCAACCTTTTGTGCTTTGCTTCTGTAAAATGAAGAGGCTGGGCAGATGAGAACTACGTTTCCTTAGAACAGATAATTATGATCCAGTGTGTGAAATGCCTCATCGAAAGCCACACTGCCTATTATGAAAGCCCAAAGAACAGCATCACAACTGGATTTAGAGAAAAGAAAAGACTCAGACAAGGCTTCTTGGAGGAAAGGATGCCTGACCTGAATCTTGAAGGATGAGGAGAAATTCCGCTGGGGAATGAACTGACTAATAAAGCAAAAAGCACCTTATTGAAGCCATCATTTTATTTGGCTAATCAAAAAAATGTTTCAGCATCTAAACCTCAAGGAATATCTCTCCGAATTCAAACAGACTCTAATGTGTGCATTATACTCTGCTTCTAGATGTATATCATGGAAATTACATTGCCCAAAACCTTTTCACAATGTAGTCACTTCTTCTCTGGAAAAAAAAATGTTTCTTTGTCTTGTTCATTCAGTTATCAAGGTCCCATCAAAGTCTTGAAAAAGACATCAGCCACCACATGCATAAGTGATGTGACTGACCACTGTATGGAACACCAAGACTTCTTGGGAAAGTGAAGACCAATCAGAGAGTTTAGACAAGGGGTCATTCCACAGCTGTAATCACAGTCAACAAGAGGTGAGATGGATGGATTAAAGATTTAAACGTTAGACCTAAAACCATAAAAACCCTAGAAGAAAACCTAGGCATTACCATTCAGGACATAGGCGTGGGCAAGGACTTCATGTCCAAAACACGAAAAGCAATGGCAACAAAAGCCAAAATTGACAAATGGGATCTAATTAAACTAAAGAGCTTCTGCACAGCAAAAGAAACTACCATCAGAGTGAACAGGCAACCTACAAAATGGGAGAAAATTTTCGCAACCTACTCATCTGACAAAGGGCTAATATCCAGAATCTACAATGAACTCAAACAAATTTACAAGAAAAAAACAAACAACCCCATCAAAAAGTGGGCGAAGGACATGAACAGACACTTCTCAAAAGAAGACATTTATGCAGCCAAAAAACACATGAAGAAATGCTCATCATCACTGGCCATCAGAGAAATGCAAATCAAAACCACTATGAGATATCATCTCACACCAGTTAGAATGGCAATCATTAAAAAGTCAGGAAATAACAGGTGCTGGAGAGGATGTGGAGAAATAGGAACACTTTTACACTGTTGGTGGGACTGTAAACTAGTTCAACCATTGTGGAAGTCAGTGTGGCGATTCCTCAGGGATCTAGAACTAGAAATACCATTTGACCCAGCCATCCCAATACTGGGTATATACCCAAAGGACTATAAATCATGCTGCTATAAAGACACATGCACACATATGTTTATTGTGGCACTATTCACAATAGCAAAGACTTGGAACCAACCCAAATGTCCAACAATGATAGACTGGATTAAGAAAATGTGGCACATATACACCATGGAATACTATGCAGCCATAAAAAATGATGAGTTCATGTCCTTTGTAGGGACATGGATGAAATTGGAAACCATCATTCTCAGTAAACTATCGCAAGAACAAAAAACCAAACACCGCATATTCTCACTCATAGGTGGGAATTGAACAATGAGATCACATGGACACAGGAAGGGGAATATCACACTCTGGGAACTGTGGTGGTCTCTGTGTTGGTTTTTCTTATAGCATTGGGAGATATACCTAATGCTAGATGACACGTTAGTGGGTGCAGCGCACCAGCATGGCACATGTATACATATGTAACTAACCTGCACAATGTGCACATGTACCCTAAAACTTAGAGTATAATAAAAAAAAAAACATTAAAAAAAAAAAAAAAAAAAAGAGGTGAGATAACTCTTGACTTCAAATGCCTTTGGCAGTGGGATTAGGCAATGTGCTTAGGCAGCAGTCATTTCCATGTGGCTAAAGAATCCAAACAGCCACAACAATAGATTCTGAAGAGAGGAAAGTTATCTGAATTGACCTAACTATGCAATCTCAGCAATTATGATTCCCAAGTAATTGCTAGCTCTCCTACAATTCTGTCTGTACGGTTGTTGTAAGTAGAGTTCATTCATGCATTCAACAAATTCTAGTGAGTACCAACTATGTACCAGCTCTTTGTATACAATGGGGATACAGCCATAAAAGTGAGACAAAAACCTTTGACCCTGTGGAATCTACATTCTTGTGTGCCATCCTTGTATTGAGAAAAGTACAATGAGTTTTAACTTCTATTTGATGGGACATATTGCTGCTTTGAACAGTCCCCAATGGACATTTTGCAAAAGAGTCTGAGCCAAACCTGAGCCATCCTTTCTCCCTGTCTCTCCGTCTTATTCTCTGTCTTAGCAACACACAGCACGAGATAAAGCCAAGACAGCCTGATGCTTGTTCCTTAATGCACCCTCAGTATCAAGCCAAATGACTCCTTAAGCCTCGAAACAGATATGTATGATTATATCAAGACCCTAAAGAATGTTCATAACCTTTGAACCACTTCTGGAAATCCTAAGAAAATAGATCTAACCTTTGAAAAGAATTTAGATGCAAAAAATGTACATCACAGCTTCAATGAACCTAGCCTCACCCCAAGACAAATTAAATGTCCAACTATAAATGAATATATAGGTAAATTATTATTTTTACAGTAGATGAAATAAGCAGATATTAAGAAATCTGTGATAATGTTGGAAAATACTATAAAATGTTAGGTAATTAAACAGAACTAAAAAACCATATATTCAACATAACAAGCATGTGTGAAAATCTACTAAGGAAAAAGATTTGATAGAAATTCTCTAAAACATTAATATTTAATATACTTAGATGTAATTATGAGTATTTTCTACTTTTGGGATTTTTCCATTTTTCATTAGGAAAAAATGTTTTTATAATTTAAAAAATTTTTACATAATAATTTTAAGAATAAATATAGTTTTTAAAAAGCAAGAATGAGGTCGCATTTATCCAACAAGTATACAACAGTTTATTATCATACCTGAAGAGCCTGAGATCTGGAGTCTACTGCCTGGGTTTGAACTCTGATTCCTCGTTATTGTGTGACCTTGGGCAAGGAAGTTATTTAACCTTTTCTTGCTCCAGTTTTCCACCTGCAAAATGGGCGTGCCTACCTAAATGGGTTGGTATGAGGATGAGTAAATTATTTACTCAGAGTGTTTGGCACACAGAGTGTAACACCCTGTAAGCACTCAAATAATAACAGATCACACACTCCAGTGGCTTCAAAGAAAGAATTCAAAAAAGAGGAAAGACAAACATCAGATCCCGATGCCTCAGGAACAAGTAGCTCAAGAGTTGTACTTCCAGTGGGCAATTTTCCCTCAGGCAGAATGAATCTCCAAGTCCTTTACTAATATTTTAAAATTTCCTCTGAAGAAGGACAATATGTAGATATTTGTTTTATGCATAATTACTCCTTTGGGTTTTTTTTTAAATGCACCGGTCATAATGTATTGTGCAAAGTGCCTTTTGATTTCAAAAACAAGCCTAAAGATTACATTAATATGATTGTCACAAAACACTAATCATTAAGATGAAATGACCTCATAAAAATATTGCTTATGTTGCCAACATACAGTAGTTAATTTGAAGATAAAAATAATTGTTGACAAAAATCACATTTCTGTCAAATGTCTGTTCAAAAATCAGTGAAATAAAAAACTAATCTCTTATCTCCTGTATCCAACATCCTTCTTTCTGTGCAAATTAAACCATCTAAATCTGAGTAAAATAAAATCTGTGTAAAATAAAGAATCTTGTTCACAGCAGGCTTTTAGTAAATATTTGTTGAAAGGATACAGTTTAGTTCTTATTACTTGACAACATTTGCCTTTTAAAAAGAGTGAGAATTCAGTTAAGATTGCATAAATATTAAATCTTGACCAATAAAGAAGATTCAGAGGATAAGAGGAAATTAAGAAAGACAGTTTGAAATCCGTCTCTGACACCTTCTTCTCTCGAAATGAGGCATCACTTTCTCTTTACGAGACAGATTATGCCAGAGGCATTCTTTATCCTAATTTCTAATCCAAACTTCCTTGATCTTTTGACCCTAGGAATCTTCTACTCAAAATAAGGCAAAACCTTCAAGGTTTTGATTTCGTTTGATAACTTTTCTCTGTTTATGGGCTCTGTTCTCTTCTTGCATAGAATATCTGCCTACTTAAAACGGCTAAAAGGTCTTAAACCTCAGAGATTCACAAGCTCAGATTTGCATCTTAGCGGGCACCAGCTGTATTGTCTTCTTTCAGTCCCATAACCTTACTCAGCCTCAGTTTCTTTGTAAAGTGGACATAATAAATATCTCTCAAAAGGTTACAACAGAGTTAAGTGAGACCATAGATACTAAACGATTGGGCATGGTAGGCAATTTAACAATGTGTTCGTTCTTCCCTTTCCCTGTGAGACTTTACTGAGGCTGGACAGTCTTTCTCTGAACCCTGACATCCCTTGGTCTCTTTCCTGTCTTTCCTTCCCAGAGCAGAAAGCAAAGTTCTCCTGAACCCGGATTTTTTAAATCTAGAAGAACATTTGAGCTGTAAGTTACCCACTCACATTTCAAGTCCCAGGGAAATTGGAAAGGTAGATGAATTGGTGGTGTGCTTGGTCCCTTTTGGGAGGGGCCTAAGAAGCGGGGACCCTCGCTTGAGTCAGTGGGATCTCACTATATTCTCTTCCCCATCTGTGAAGTCTGGATTTGGGCTCTACCCACCTTCCTCCTTAGACCTGCAAAGACTAAATCAATGAGAACCTCTGAGCTGAGTTTCCCTCGGGAGATGCCAAACGCGTAAGACTCTCCCAAGATCCCAGAACTAATCTGTCCCCACCCTGCAAGGAAAAGGTGAAGGAAGAAAGGGAAGCGGGGCGGGGCGCGATATGCCACAGGTAACCGCCGCCTGCGCGCAGTTAAGGAACAGTCCTGTCCAATAGGTCTCCCCAACCTGAGCTTTCCAGGTCGCCTCCCGCCCGCAGGACCTCTTTCTCTCGAGCAGCCAGAGGATTTGGAGCTGCTGAGAGCGGATGAGGTCCTGGGGGAGTGAAGGCGGCGTCTGTGCCGCAGCCGCTTGTCAACTCTCTAGCGTCCAAGCCCCGGCCCCGGCCCCCGCCAGGTGCGCCAGGCAGGCTGGCCTCCGCGTTCCTCACAGCGCCCCACGCTGCCTCCTTGGCGTTCCTCGGTGCGCGCTCCACGCTGCGCTCCTGGACGCCGGGAGCAGGGCAGTGCGCTGCACTGGGCGCCCGCAAGGGAAAAACGCTACCTGTGGAAGTAATGTAGGCAGAAGAGGCCCAGAAGTACCGTCCCAGGTGGCCCGAAGAGGGAGAGGGGCTGCCGGGCGAGGATCCCCGCGGGCACCGCGAAGGAAGGCAGCTCCTGCAGGAACCAGGCGGCGCGGGCTGGCAGGCGGGTAGCCGCCGGCTTCAGGCTCTCCGTGTGCTTCCCGTAGCCGGAGGGCTTCGCGACGTACAAGGCCAGTGCCCCAAGGGCGACCAAAGTGGCGCTGCCTGCCAGCACTGGGCTCTGCTGGCACTGAACCTGCATCGCGCCGTGTTCCTCGCCGGTGGCCGCTGCCCTCCCAGAAGAGAGCGCGGCCCCCGCAACCCCTTTATGGAGCGCCAGACGCCACCCGTGTCCGCCCCCTCGGCCTTGGCTCCCGCCCCTCCATCCTGCCTCCCACCTCGCCGCGTCCAGCCCTGGCGCGGTTCGCAGCAATACCCCTTTCTCAAGGATGCAGCCGCGGTGGCCGGAGGAGAACGAAGGCCTTCTTAGTTCGCCCGCCCTCTCCACGGCTTTACATTCACCTCCCGCTTAGGCTGTCCTTCCATGACTTGTTCCTCAACTATTAGCGTCTGATGCGCATACTTCTGGAACTAAGACACGGGAAGAAAACCCCACGGGGACGATTCAGCTGGGGTGGTTCTTCCGCCCCAACACACACCCTCTGTGCCGTCGGTCACCACGCAGTCCCACCCTCGAACACCCAAGCCAAGGTCTTTCCATCTCCTCCGGTTCCTCATGCACTTTCACTCCCTCACAGCTCCCACCCAACATAGGACCTTCCTTGGACCCTGAACCATCCTGGCTCTCTGAGCGTCTGCCAGCCCTTCTGCTCTGGGGCGCCGCGCTCCTTAGCCACTCTCAGCATCAGTGCCAGCTCTGCCCCACCACACGCCCCCGGCAGGTACCAGTCTCTCCCGGCCCTAATTCCTCAGCGGTTTCTCTCTGCATCCCCGCACGCGTCCCTGAGCCGCCTGCCTGGGTCAGAGAGGAGCGTCCGCTGAGCTCGGGTGATCATGCACAGATTGGGGCCAGAAGTCGAGATTCTGCGCGTCCTCTCCCGCCACCCCACTCCCGGTCCCCTAGAGTGGCCCAGACTCAGGCTAAAGTCTAGGGCTTCTTTCCTGGGATGCCCTTTCCCAGCTCCTAGAGCCAATGAGCCGTGGCCCATCAGGTGGTGGCCTGGCGACCCCGCTGTTCTCTGAACTCCTGTCTAGCCGTCATACACGCAGACGCGGTTCTTTCTCTCTTCCGTTTCCCACCTTTATGTTATCCTCCAGCCCCTCCGTCTTCTACCTCTTCCGTTCTATGATTCAGCTTCCAGGCTTTCTTGGCTGCCTCCTCCTCTGTTTCCCAACCCTTCTTTTCTTCTCTTCCTTCTTTCTTCGACCCGGCTTTCTCCTTTAGGTTGACCTCCTCTTCCCACCTGCTGTTTACCTCATTCTTTCATCTTCCTGTCCCATCTCCCTTGATTACTTTATCCCTGTTTTCTCCTCTGGTCCCTACTTGGGGCTCCACCCCAGTCCTTCTCATTTTTCACTCTTCCCTTACTTTGGAGGTCTCTTCTCTTCCTTCCCCTTCAACTCACGCCTCCCAGGAGCCCCATTCAGTGTATCTCCATCCACTTCTGCTGGATCAGGCCAGCTGGTCCAATGACAGACACAACCCCTCATCTGCTCCCGTTTGGGGTGTCTCCTGATTCTTGGCACACATGGTATATGGTGATGCTTTAGCACTACAGGGCACCCTCTGCTTGCTGACCAAGAGTCGTTTATCATATTCCCATTGGGTTATAATTAATGCTAATCATACTTCAGTTTTTAATTGATCACCACTTTGGAATCACTCATACTGACCGAAGCATTTTTCATGGAAAAGCCAGGTCTTAGCCATCATAGCCGTTTCAAGCTTTTTTTGCACTGGCTTTAGAGTACAAGTCCAGTCCCAGCTTCCTCAGCTACAACCTGCTTGTTGAAGATGCCCAAATCTAGATTGCCAGCAAAGATATGAGCTTTAGCTCTGCGTTTTCTCCCTGCTGGAAAACTCCACTTACATGTCCTTCAGAGACCTCAAAACCAGCCCTACCCAAAACTAAACCCAGTTATTTTTCCCTCCACCCACTTGGACCCAAATTCTCCTTCTATGTTCCTGAGTGTTACCTCTTCCCTGTCCTCAATTGCCATAGCCTCCCTAGGAAGCTGGCTCATAGACTCAGTAAACAATAGATTTCATGATACCATACAGCATTAGGAGAACAGGCAGTGCACTATTTCAAACCCAGCTCAATGGAATATTTTTTTAAATGAAATGTCTTCTGTCTCAATTTCTTCCTCTCTTTTCTTCCGACTCTGCCCACTTTTTGTCCTCATGATCTTTTCTCCACTATTATAACAATTAGCTTGATAAAACCAGTCATCTTCAGCTTATGCATCTGTGGGTTGGCTGTGGGTCAGAAATCTGGGCTGGGCTTGACTTATCTTAACAATATTCACTCATTCATCTGTGTAACAAGTTAGAGCCCAGCTCCAGGCTGTGTTTGGATGGAGAAACTTAGCTGAGGCTCTCATCCTGGGATGAGTGAGCTAGCTCCACCATGTCTATATAATGTTAATAACAAAAGTACGAGAGTAGAAGAAACACACAAGGCCTCTTCAGGCTCAGGCCAAGAACAAGCACACCCTTACTTCCTATTTATTGTATTGGCCAAATCAAGTCATATGGTGGATTCTAGAGCCAAAGTGAGAGACTATTTGTAAAGTTACATGGTAAAGGGCAGGGATATAGTGGGAGGTAGAAAATTGGAACCAATAATGCAACTGGTCTGTATTACATGCAAGAAGAAAGTGCCCAATTATAAATATACAGCTTGGTTGATTTGCACAAACTGAACACCCTCTTGCAAGCTGCACCTAGGTCAAGATACAGATTATCAGCATATCAGGATCTGTGCTCCTGCCTCCTTACATCCTCCTTCCAGGAAAAAAAAAAAAAACAAAAAAAAAGCAAAAAAAAAACCAAAAAAAAAGCAAAAAAAAAAAACACCACTACCCTGACTTCTAACACCATAAGTTAATTTTGTCTGCTTTTGAATTTCGGGTAAGTGGAATCATACAGTACTTACTCTTTTTAATCAATGTGGTAACATATGCAGACACAGAAATGACTATCGTGAAGGAAAAGGTTTATATCGACAGATCCCTACAAACAGAAGACACAGCACACCACCCAAGACCACATGGAGAAGCACCAGTGTTAGGAGGCAGCTGGAGTGAGGGGTCAAGGTGGGCAAGAGCCTTTACTGTAGTTTCTGCAGGAAAGAGTGGGCATGACAAGGTAATCAGGCTTAGGATTAGCTCGTTTGAATACTTTTAGCAGGCTCTGGGGTACAGCGGCTGTCTTTACTTTTCTGTTACCTGGACCTGGCTGATTAGGGCAGGAGAATAGTGGCCCAGGGTGTAGAGTCCTGATAAAGGAAGTGGTTGGGGAACGTATGAGCCCTGAATTAGTTGGTTTGCATATGAAAGATGTGTTAGAGTCATTTATAATCTCCAGGAAACAGCTAGCTGGGAGATCCCAGAAGGCCATGGTTTAGTAGTAGAAATGATCTACAGAGTATTGGAATTAGGTAGAATAAAAGCTATCTTCTTAACAAAACATAAAATCAATCCCCCAAAGGATCAAGATGACTCACAAGTAACCTAACACAGTCCAACACTGTTTAAAGGAAGTCAATTAAATCCAGACAAGTAAGAATATAGCCTTTACAATATCCAGCATTCCTAAAATTACTAGGCATGTTACATCAACTTTTGACAACAACTACTAGAGTTGAGCCAAACTTCAAAAGTTAAGGACATGGTCCTCCATAACACTGTCCTTACTTCAGACATCAGCTGCAAGTTCAAGGTTACGTAAGCTACCTATACTTCTAAACAGCTGGCTACCATATTTAGGAATCCCCACTAACCCTTCAAGCTTGATAATTCACTAAAAAAAATTAAAGAACTCTGGAAAGCACTATACTTACAACTACAGTTTTATTATAGCAAAAATATCCAAACAGAACTAGCCAAAAGAAGAGATGTATAGTACTATGGGAGGTGGAGCAAGATGGTGGAATAGAAGGCTCCACTGATTGTTTCCCCAACAAGGACACCAATTTAACAACTATCTGTGCAAGCAAAGCTCCTTCACAAGAACCAAAACTCAAGTGAGCACTTGCAGTACCTGCTTTTAACTTTGTGTTGCTGAAAAAGGCACTGAAAAGGTTGCAGAAGGAGTCTTGAAGCACTGAAGCCACCCCTCCATCACACCCTGGCAGCTGTGGTGTGGTGCAAAGAGCATTTTCGTGCACTGGGTGAGGGAGAACACATCAATGGTGAGGCATTAAACTCAGTGTTGTCCTGTTACAGCAAAAAGGAAAGCCAGACAAAGTTCAGCTGATGCCCACACATAAAGGGAGCATTCAAACCAGTCCCAGCCAAAGGGGAATCACTAATTCCAGCAGTCAGAATTTCAGTTCCCACAAACCTCACCACTGAGGGCTGAAGTGCTCTGGATCTCTGACTAAACCTGAAAGGCAGTTTAGGCCAAAAGAACTGCAATTCTTAGACAAGTCCTAGTACTGAACTAGGGCCAGAGACAGTGGACTGAGGGGTGCAAAATATACTGAGACACCAGCTGGGGCAGCCAAGGGAGTGCTGGCATCACCCCTCCCCAATCCCAGGCTGCACAACTCACAACTCTAAAAGAGACCCCTTCCTGCTGCTTGAGAAGAGGAGAGGAAAGAGTTGAGGAGGACTCTGCCTTGCATCTTGGATACCAGCTCAGCCACAACAGATATGGCACCAGTCAGAATAATGAGGTCCCTGTTCCAGGCCCTAGCTTCCAGGTGACATTCCTAGAAACACCCTGGGCCAGAAGGGAACCCACTGCTTTGAAGGGAAAGACCCAGTCATGGCAGCGTTCATCACCTGCTAGCTGAAAAGCCCTTTGGCTCTGAATAACCAGCAGTGATACCCAGATACTACATCAAGGGCCTTGGGTGAGCCTCTGAGACTAGCTGGTTTCAGGTACTGGCTCAGCCACAGGGAGGTAAAGCACCAAGCAAGCTCTTGGGGGCCCTTGATTCCAAGAGTTGACTCTTCAACAGCATTTCTAGACCTTTCCTGGGCCACAGGGAAGCCCACTGCCCCAAAGAGTGAGTCCCAGGCCAGGCAGCAGTCACCACCAGCTGACTTAATAGCCTTTCTGCCTTAAATGAATACCTGTGATAATCCAGCAGTACTTCTTGTGGGCTGTGGAGTGAGGCTCCTCTGCCTTTGGACAGGGGAGGAAAGAGTGGGAAAGACTGTGTTTTGTGGTTTGAGTGCCAGCTCAGTGTTTTTGTTTATTCATTTTATTATTATTTATTATTATTATTATTTCAATAGGTTTTTGGGGAACAGGTGGTGTTTGGTTACACAGATAAGTTCTTAGTGGTGATTTCTGAGATTTTGGTGCCCATCACCCAAGCGGTGTACGCCGTACCCAATGTGTAGTCTTTTATCCCCTACTCCCCTCTCACACTTTCCCCCGAGTCCCCCCAGCTCAATTTTAATGCAATAGAATGCCAGGTAGACTTCAAAGGTTTTTTACTCTAGTCCCTGACTCCTAGACAACATCTCTGGACCCACCTGGGGCTTGGGGGAACTTGCCACCCTGAAGGGAAGGGCACAGACCTGGATGGCTTTTCCACCTGTTTATTGTAGAGCCCCAAGGCCTTGAGCAAACATAGGCAGTGGCCAGGGAGTGGTTACAGCAGGGAAGACCCAGTGTTGTGCTGGCTTCAAGTCTGGCTGAGCACAGTCATAGTGGTGGTGTCCTCAGGGGTGCTGGTTTCACTCCACTCCTAGCTTCAGGTGTCTCAGAACTGACAGAGGGACTCTGTTTGGGAGAAGTAAGGAAAGAAAATAAGAGTATCTGCCTGGTAATCCAGAGAATTATCCTGGATCTTGTCCAAGACCATCAAAGCAGTACATCTAGAAACTGCAAGAACCATAGCATTACTGGGATTGTGGTACCCTCTAAAGCAGATACAGCATAGATCAAAATACTCCGGTCTTTTCAAATATCTGAAAATCCATCCCAAGGAGGACAGGAACAAAAAAACACAGACAGTGAAGCCTACAATAAATCCTAACACCAAAGAACATTTACAAGTATCAAGATAATCCAGGAAAACATGACTTCACCAAATGAACTAAGTAAGGCACCATGGACCAATCCTGGAGAAACAAGACATAGGACCATTCAGACAGAGAATTCAAAATAGCTGCTTTGAGAAATCTCAAAGAAATTAAAGATAACACATAGGAGAAATTCAGAATTCTATCAGATAAATTTAACAAAGAGATTAAAATACTTTAAAAGAATCAAACAGAAACTCCATCAAAAAGTGGATGAAGGATATGAAAAGATACTCCCCAAAAGAAGACATTTATGCGGCCAACAAACATATGAAAAAAAGCTCATCATCACTGATCATTAGAGAAACGCAAATCAAAACCACAATAAGATACCATCTCATTGGTATCTCATCACCGTTAGAATGCTGATCATTAAAAAGTCAGGAAACAACAGATGCTGGCAAAGCTGTGGAGAAATAGGAATGCTTTTACATTGTTGGTGGGAGTGTAAATTAGTTCAACCATTGTGGAAGACAGTGTGGTGATTCCTTAAGGATCTAGAACCAGAAATACCATTTGACCCAGCAATCCCATTACTGGGTATGTACCCAAAGGATCATAATTCATTCTACTATAAAGACACATGCACACATGTTTATGGCAGCACTATTTACAATAGCAAAGTCATGGAACCCGAATGCCCATCAATGGTAGACTGGATAAGGAAAATGTGGCACATATACACAATGGAATACTATGCAGCCATAAAAAAAATGAGTTCATGTCCTTTGCAGGGACATGGATGAAGCTGTAAGCCATCATTCTCAGCAAACAAACACAGGAACAGAAAATCAAACACCCCATGTTCTCACTCATAAGTGGCAGTTGAACAATGAGAACACATGGATACAGGGAGGGGAACATTATACACCAGGACCTGTCAAGGGGTTGGAGTCAAGGGGAGGGAGAGCGTTAGGACAAATACCAAATGCATGTGGGGCTTAAAACCTAGATGACGGGTTGAAGGTGCAGCAAACTACCATGGCACATGTATACCTATGTAACAAACCTGTATGTTCTGCACATGTATCCCAGAACTTAAAGTAGAATTTTTAAAAATTTTAAAAAGAATCAAACAGAAATTCTGGAGCTAAAAATGCAATTGGCATATTGAAGAATGCATCAGAATCTTTTCATAGCAGAATTGATCAAGCAGAAGAATTAGTGAGCTTGAAGACAAGCTATTTGAAAATATACAGTCAGAGGAGACAAAAGAAAAAAGAATCAAAAAGAATGAAGCATGCCTACAGGATCTAGAAAATAGCTTCAAAAGGGCAAATCTAAGAGTTATTGGTCTAAAGAGGACATAGAGAAAGAGAGAGGGGTGGAAAGTTTATTCAAAGGGCTAATAACAGAAAACTTCTCAAACCTAGAGAAACATATCAATATTCAAGTACAAGAAGGTTATAGAACATTAAGCAGATTCAACCCAAAAGAGACTACCTCAAGGCATTTAAATAATTAAACTCCCAAAGATCAAGGATAAAGAAAGAATCCTAAAACAAGCAAGAGAAAAGAAACAAATAACGTACAATGGGGCTCCAATACATCTGGCAGCAGTCCTCACAGTAGAAACCTTACCTTACAGGCAAGGAGAGAATGGCTTGATATATTTAAAATGCTGAAGGAAAAATCTTTTACCTTAGAATAATATATCTAGTGAAAATATTATGCAAACATGGAAGAGAGAAATAAAGACTTTCCAAAATAAAAGCTGAGGAATTTCATCAACACCAGACCTGTCCTACAAGAAATGCTAAAGGGAATACTTCAATCAAAAAGAAAAGGACATTAATGAGCAGTAAGTAATCACTTATTAAGTAATAATAAGTAATATGAAGATACAAAACAAACTGGTAATAGTAAGTACACAGAAAAACACTAAATATTATAACACTAACTGCAGTGTGTACACTATTCTTGTCCTAAATAGAAAGACAAAACAACAAACCAATAAAAAATCATAACTATATCACAAAATTGGAAAATGGTGGATAGCAGACAGAACTAACATGCAGCTCCTGCTTGGAATGGACAGAACAGTGTGTGGAGACTCACACTGTGAGCTTTTGCTGCAAGAACTACCATGGGAACATACCAGGAAAACTGAAAGAATTCACAGACCCTTTGAAAGAAGCAGTTTTACTGTTGCAAACTCTATGAGACAGCCAAAAAACTGTGAGTTCCCAAAGTGTGAGCAGGGAAAAGTTTGCCTCTGAACACACATCCCCACTGGGGAACCTGAAAATCCAGATCACAGGAGAAGGATTTAACCTTACCCAGAGCTGAAACAGATTTAGGATGCCAAGCAAAACATAAAAGTAGAAGAAGCAATGGGAAGAGCCCTGTAGACACTTCCACTGAACTGCCCATGTCAAGAGAGCTTGTACAGTGCATGGATAGCTGCCAGCCCCCGGGCCCTCATCCACCACCTCATCCAGTGGAGCTCATTCCCAGCTGTTGGGATAATGAATTTACATGAGCTGATAATGTAGACACGAATTCAGTCAGTGGCCAGGAGCGCAGAAGTTAATAAATACCTCTCTAGTGAGGGCAGGAAGGTGTGCTCTCCCAGGTCCTCCTTCTCCCCTCTGCCCGGATGCCCCCAGGAACTCCACAGACACCTTGGCACCTGCCCTGGTCTCAGCGAGAGAACACCTCCATTGGGGAAAGACTCTCATCTGCCTCTCTAGGGAGGGCTGGAGGCCTTGTGCCGAGGCCTGGGGGAGCCCAGGGAAACCATTCCTGGCCTCATCTCACAGAGATTCTTCAGGAAGGGAGGGCAGCCAGTAGAACTGGGGAGGGGCCACAGGGTGAAGGAAGCTCCTAGCTGATCTTTGTTATAATTTTGGCTGAGTACGAATTTTCCTGTGCAGAAACGGGGTGGGGGGCAAATGGGAAGTGCACATACAATTGCAGAAGCTGCAGCTGAAGGGAAGGGCAGGCAGGGAAGGGAGGCCTGAGAGCCCTGCTTGCTTTCTCAGTGGGAAGGATTGTAGCCTGGGGAAAGATCTCAGCCCTGCTCAAAGGCTGCCTGGATATAAACTCAGTGCTGTTGGAGGGGCATGGCGGGAGTAAGAGTGGCCTTGCTGGCTGCATGAGAGCTGAGTGAGGCCCGTCACTGCCTGTTTTCCCCCGCTTCCCTGGTGACATGTATAATGCAGTAGAGGCACCCATAATCCCCCTAGGAACATAACACCATTGGCTTAAGAACCACCTCTCTGTCCTCCACAGTGGCTGCAGCAAGCCCTGCCCAAGTAGCATCAGACCTGCCCAATCCTGCGCCCCCACCCCACCCACCCTGCGCTCAATGGTTTTTCTCTACCCACCCTGGCAGCTGAAAACAAAAGACATAAACTCTTGGGAGCTCTATGGCCCCGCTCATCACCTGAGAAACCCGAGTACTAATCCTGGCCAACACAGGGCAAGATTATATCCTCCATGAGCATGGAATGTTCTTCCATTTGTTTGTATCCTCTTTTATTTCACTGAGCAGTGGTTTGCAGTTCTCCTTGAAGAGATCCTTCACGTCCCTTGTAAGTAGGATTCCTAGGTATTTTATTCTCTTTGAAGTAATTGTGAATGGGAGTTCACTCATGATGGGTAGGAAGAATCAGTATCATGAAAATGGCCATACTGCCCAAGGTAATTTATAGATTCAATGCCATCCCCATCAAGCTACCAATGACTTTCTTCACAGAACTGGAAAAAACTACTTTAAAGTTCATATGGAACCAAAAAAGAGCCCTCATTGCCAAGTCAATCCTAAGCCAAAAGAACAAAGCTGGAGGCATCATGCTACCTGACTTCAAACTATACTACAAGGCTACAGTAACCAAAACAGCATGGTACTGGTACCAAAACATACTTATAGACCAATGGAACAGAACAGAGCCATCAGAAATAATGCCACATATATATAACTATCTGATCTTTGACAAACCTGACAAAAACAGGAAATGGGGAAAGGATTCCCTATTTAATAAATGGTGCTGGTGCTGGGAAAACTGGCTAGCCATATGTTGAAAGCTGAAACTGGATCCCTTCCTTACACTTTATACAAAAATTAATTCAAGATGGATTAAAGACTTAAATGTTAGACCTAAAACCATAAAAACCCTGGAAGAAAACCTAGGCAATACCATTCAGGACATAGGCATGGGCAAGGACTTCATGTCTAAAACACCAAAAGCAATGACAACAAAAGTCAAAATTGACAAATGGGATCTAATTAAACTAAAGGGCTTCTGCACAGCAAAAGAAAATACCATCAGAGTGAACAGGCAACATACAGAATGGGAGAACATTTTTGCAATCTATTCATCTGACAAAGGGCTAATATCCAGAATCTACAATGGACTCCAACAAATTTACAAGAGAAAAACCAATAACCCCATCAAAAAGTGGGTGAAGGACATGAACAGACATTTCTCAAAAGAAGACATTTATGCAGCCAAAAGACACATGAAAAAATGCTCATCATCACTGGCCATCAGAGAAATGCATATCAAAACCACAATAAGATACCATCTCACGCCAGTTAAAATGGCGATCATTAAAAAGTCAGGAAACAACAGGTGCTGGAGAGGATGTGGAGAAATAGGAACACTTTTACACTGTTGGTGGGACTGTAAACTAGTTCAACCATTGTGGAAGTCAGTGTGGTGATTCCTCAGGGATCTTGAACTAGAAATACCATTTGACCCAGCAATCCCATTACTGGGTATACACCCAAAGGATTACAAATCATGCTGCTATAAAGACACATGCACACGTATGTTTATTGCATCACTATTCACAACAGTGAAGACTTGGAACCAAGCCAAATGTGCAACAATGATAGACTGGATCAAGAAAATGCGGCACATATACAACATGGAATAACTACGCGCCATNAAAAATGATGAGTTCATGTCCTTTGTNAGGNCATGGATGAAGCTGGAAACCATCTTTCTCAGCAAACTATCGCAAGGACAAAAAACCAAACACCGCATGTTTTCACTCATAGGTGGGAATTGAACAATGAGAACACATGGGCACAGGAAGGGGAACATCACCCACGGCAGCCTGTTGTGGGGTGGGGGGAGGGGGGAGGGATAGCATTAGGAGATATACCTAATGTTAAATGACGAGTTAATGGGTGCAGCACACCAACATGGCACATGTGTACATATGTAACAAACCTGCACATTGTGCACACGTACCCTAAAACTTAAAGTATAATTTAAAAAAAAACAAAAATAAAAACAGCCCAAAAAAAAGAAAGAATATAAAAACACAGGAGTTTCAGCAATTAAAAAAAAAAAAAGATTATATCTCCCTTCTACTACCGCAGATGGTGGTCTTTTGAAAGTGCCACCTCCTGGCTGGAGGCCATCCAACTCAAGCCATTACAGCAACCCATAACAGAACAAACCTGATCCTAGGAAGGAGAAAACAACAGCTAATTCCACCACCTACAACACCCTGGCTAACCGGAAGTCCTGAGTCTGTCCATGTGACAGCTTCACTGCTAGCATAACCAGCATTTGAGAAAACGAGTGCACTAAACAAAACTAATACCAAGGACTCCCACAGAGTCCACTTCACTCCCCTGACACCTCCACCAGAGCAGACACTGGCATTCACAGCTGAGAGACCTGAAGCTGGATCACATCACAGGACTCTTTGTAGACATTTTTCAGCACCAGCCCAGAGCCCAGTAGTCCCACTGGGTGGCTAGACCCAGAAAGGCAATAGCAATCACTCCAGTCCAGCTCTAAAGAGGCCCCATCCCTGGGGGATAGGGTAGAGCACCACATCAAGGGATCATCTGTGGGACAAAATAATCTGAACAGCAGGCCTTGACTTCCAGATCTTTCCACTGACATAGTCTACTTAAATCAGAAGGAACCAGAGATGACAAAACAAGATTCCATAACACCCCCAAAAGATCACACTAGCTGTCCAGCAATAGACCCAAACCAAGAATAAGTCTTTGAATTACCAGATAAAGAATTTAGAATGTTAATTATCAAGCTACTCAAGGAGGCACCAGAGAAAAGTGAAAACCAATTTAATGCAGCCATAAAAAATGATGAGTTCATGTCCTTTGTAGGGACATGGATGAAATTGGAAACCATCATTCTCAGTAAACTATCGCAAGGACAAAAAACCAAACACTGCATGTTCTCACTCATAGATGGGAATTGAACAATGAGAACACATGGACACAGGAAGGGGAACATCACACTCTGGGGACTGTTGTGGGGTCGGGGGAGAGGGGAGGGATAGCATTCGGAGATATACCTAATGCTAAATGACGAGTTAATGGGTGCAGCACACCAGCATGGCACATGTATACATATGTAACTAACCTGCACATTGTGCACATGTACCCTAAAACTTAAAGTATAATAATAATAAAAAAAAGAAATTTTCAAAAAAATACAAAATATGGATGAAAAATTCTTCAGAGAAATATATATCATAAAGAAAAGACAATCACAACTTCTTGAAATAAAAGACACACTTAAAGACAGGCAAAATACACTGGAAAGGTTCAACAATAGACTCAAACAAGTGGAAAAAAGAACTTCAGAGCTCGAAGACAAGGCTTTTGAATTAACCCAATCTGACAAAAACAAAGAGCAAGAAAGAACTGAAACAATTAACAAAACCTCCAAGAAATTTTAGATTTGTTAAACAACCAAACATAAGAATAATTGGTGTTCTTTGTTCTTGAGGAAGAAAATAAATCTAAAAGTTTGGAAAATTTATTTGAGGGAGCAATTGAGGAAAACTTCCCTAATCTTCCTAGAGATCTAGACATCCAAATACAAGAAGTTCAAAGAACACCCAGGAAATTCATCGCAAAAAGATAATCACCAAGGAACATAGCCACCACGTTATCTAAAGTCAAGATGAAGGAAAGAATCTTAACTGTGAGGCAAAATCATCAAGTAGTCTATAAAGAAAAACCTGTCAGATTAACAGCAGATTGATAAGCAGAAACTCTGCAAGCCAGAAGGGATTGGGGTCCTATCTTTAGCCTCCTTAAACAAAATAACTATCAGCCAAGAATTTTGATTCCACTGAAACTAATCTTCATAAATGAAGGAGAGATAAAGTCTTTTCCAAACAAATGCTGAGAGAATTTGCCACTACCAAGCCAGCACAGCACTAAAAGAAATGCTAAAAGAAATTCTAAATATTGAAACAAAAACTCAAAATACACCAAAATAGAACCTCCTTAAAGCATAAATCTCACAGGGCCTATAAAATCATGACACAATGAAAAATAAAAAAGATATTCAGGCAACAACTAGCATGATGAACACAACAGTACCTCATATATCAAAACTAACGTTGAAGGCAAAGTGGTCTAAATGTTCCACTTAAAAAATACAGAATGACAGAATACATAAAATTCCACCAACCAAGTATCTGCTGTCTTTAAGAGACTCACCATACACATAAAGACTCACATAAACTTAAAGTAAAAGTGAGGGAAAAGACATTCCATGCAAATGGAAACCAAAAGCGAGCAGGATTAGCTATTCTTATATCAGACAAAACAGACTTTAAAACAATAACAGTTTAAAAAGACAAAGAAGGATGTTATATAATGACAAAAAGATTACTCCAACAGGAAAATATAACAATTCTAATTATATATGCACCTAACACTGGAGTTCCCAAATTTATAAAACAATTACTACCAGACCTAAGAAATGAAATAGATAGCAACAGAGTAATAGTGGGGAACTTCAATAGAATACTCCACTGACAGCATTAGACAAGTCATCAAGACAGAAAGTCAACAAAAAAACAGTGGACTTAAACTATACCCTATAACAAATGGACTTAACAGGTATTTACAAACATTCTACCCAACCAATGCAGAATATACATTCTTTTCATCAGAACATGGAATATTCTCCAAGATAGATCATATGAGAGGCCACAAAACAAGTCTCAATAAATTTAAGACAATTGAAATTATAGCAAGTACTCTGTCATACCGCAGTAGAATAAAATTGGAAATTAACTCCAAAAAGGAATGCTCAAAACTATACAAATACATGGAAATTCAATAATCTGCTCCTGAATAATTTTTGAGTCAATAATGAAATCAAAACGGAAATTTTTTAAATTCCTTGATCTGAAAGATAATAGTGACACAACCTATCGAAACCTCTGGGATACAGCAAAAGCAGTACTAAGAGGAAAGTTCATAGCATTAAATGCTTACATCAAAAAGTCTGAAAGACCACAAATAGACAACCTAAGCTCACACCTCAAAAAGCTACAGAAAATAGAACAAACAAAACCCAAACCCAGCAGAAGAAAATAAAAATATCAGTGCAAAACTAAATAAAACTGAAAGAAAAAATCAATACAAAAGATAAATGAAACAAAAAGTTGATTCTTTGAAAAGATAAACAAAATTGATAGACCATTAGTGAAATTAACCAAGAAAAGAAGAGAGAAGATCCAAGCAAGCTCAATTAGAAATGAAATGGCAGATATCACAATGGACACCACAGAAATACAAAAGATCATTCAAGGCTACTATGAACACTTCTATGTGCATAAACTAAAAAACCTAAGGGGATGGATAAATTTCTGGCAATATACAACCCTCCCAGATTAAACCAGAAAGAAATAGAAACTCTGAACAGACAAATAACAAGTACTGAGATTGAAACAGTGAGAAAAAGTTGCCAAGGGAAAAAAAAATCCAGGACCAGATGGACTCACATGTGAATTCTGTCAGCATTCAAAGAAGAACTGGTGCCAATCTTACTGAAACTATTCCAAAAGGAAGAGAAAGAGAGAGTCCTCCCTACATCATTTTATGAAGCCAGTATTACCCTATCACCAAGACCAGGAAAGGACATAACAAATAAAGAAAACTACAAACTAATATTCCTGGTGAGCATAGATGCAAAAATCTTCAACAAAATACTAGCCAACAGAATCCAACAGCATATCAAAAAGATGATCCACCATAATCAAGTGGGTTTCATAGCTGGGACGCAGGGTTGGCTTAATATATGCAAGTCAATAAATGTGATGCACCACATAAACAAATTTATAAACAAAAATCATATTATCATCTCAAGAGAGGCAGAAAAAGCATTTGACAAAACCCAGCATCCCTTTATCATTAAAACCCTCAGCAAAATCAGCATAGAAGAGAGATACCTTAAGGTAATAAAAGCCATACATGAAAACCCAGAGCCAACAATATATTGATTGAGGAAGAGTTGAAAGCATTCTCCTGCAAGGTGTGGTGCTCACGCCTGTAATCTCAGCACTTTGGGAGGCCAAGGAGTTTGAGACCAGCGTGACCAATACAGTGAAAACCCGTCTCTACTAAATTTACAAAAATTAGCTGAGCATGGTGGTGGGCAGCTGTAGTCCCAGCCACTTGAGAGGCTGAGACAGGAGAATCACTTGAACCCTGGAGGTGGAGGTTGCAGTGAGCCAAGATCATGCCACTGCACTCCAGCCTGGGTGACAGAGCAAGACTCCACCAAAAAAAAAAAAAAAAAAAAAAGCATTCCCCCTGCAGACTGGAACAGGACAAAGATGCCCACTTTTACCACTTCTATTTAACATAGTACTGGAAGTCTTAGCCAGAGCAATCAAACAAGAGAAAGAAATAAAGGGTAACCAAACTGGCAAAGAGGAAGTCAAACTGTCACTGTTTGCTGATGATATAATCACATACCTAGAAAACCCTAAAGACTCATCCAAAAAGCTCCTAGAACTGGTAAATGAACTCAGCAAAGTTTCAGGATACAAAATTAATGTCCACAAATCAGTAGCTCTGCTATACATCATCAGAGACCAAGCTGAGAATCAAATTAAGAACATAACCCCTTTCAGAATAGCTGCAAAAAATAAAATAAAATACATAGAAATATACTGAACCAAGGACGTGAAAGACCTCTACAAGGAAAGCTATGAAATACTGCTGAAAGGAATCATAGGTGACACAAATGAATGGAAACATAGCTCAAGCTCATGGATGGGTAGAATCAATATTGTGAAAGTGACCACCCTGCCAAAAGCAATCTACAAATTCAATGAAATTCCCATCAAAATACCACCATCATTTTTTCACAGAATTTTTAAAAAATACTAAAATTAATATGGAACCAAAAAAGGGCCCACTCAACCAAAGCAAGACTAAACCAAAAGAACAAGTCTGGAGGCATCACATTACACAACTTCAAACTATACTACAGTCATGGTACTGATTTAAAAACAGACACATAGACCAATGGAACAAAATAGATAACTCAGAAATAAAGCCAAATACTTATAGCCAACTGATCTTTGACAAAGCAAACAGAAACAAAGTGGAGAAAGAACACCCTACTCAACAAATGGTGCTGGGATAATTGGCAAACCACATGTAGAAGAATGAAACTAGATCTGCATCTCTCACCTAATACAAATTCAACTGAAGATGGATCAAAAACTTAATTCAAAGATCAGAAACCATAAAAATTCTAGAAGATAAAATAAAAAAAAAACTCTTCTAGACATTGCCTTAGTCAAAGAGTTCATGAGTAAAAATCCAAAAACAAAGATAAATATATGGGACTTAAACTAAAAAGCTTCTGCATAGCAAAAGAAACAATCAGCAGAGTAAACAGGCAATGCAAAGAGTGGGAGAAAATCTTCACAATCTATACATCCAACAAAGGACTGATATCCAGAAACTACAAGGAAATCAAACAAATCAACAAGAAAAAAACAATCTCATCAAAAAGTGGGCTAAGGACATGATTAGACAATTTTCAAAAGAAAATACACAAATGGCCAAGAAACATATTAAAAAATGCTCAACATCACTAATGATCAGGGAAATGCAAATCAAAACCACAATGCAATACCACCTTACTCCAGCAAGATTGGCCATAATTTAAAAATCAAAAAATAATAGATGTTGGTGTGGATGTGGTAAAAAGGGAACACTTGTACACTGCTGGTGGGAATGTAAACTAGTATAACCACTGTGGAAAGCAGTATGGAGATTCCTTAAAGAACTAAAAGTAGAACTACCATTTGACCCAGCACTCCCACTACTGGGTGTCTACCCAGAGGAAAAGAAATTATTATGGCAAAAAGATACTTGCACACACGTTTATAGCAGCACAATTCATAATTGCAAAAATATGAAACCAACCTAAATGCCCATCAAGCAATGAATGGATAAAGAAAATGTGGTATATATACCATGGAATACTACTCCTCAATAAAAATGAATAAAATAATGGCATTCACAGCAACCTGGATGTAGTTGGATACCATTATTTAAATGAAGTAACTCAGGAATGAAAAACCAAGCATTGTATGTTCTCACTTATAAGTAGGAGCTAAGCTATAAGAATGCAAAGGCATAAGAATGATATAATGGGCTCTGGGGACTCGGTAGGAAAGGTGCAAGGGGGGTGAGAAATAAAAGACTACATAATGGGTGCAGTGTACCCTGCTTGGATGATGAGTGCATCAAAATCTCAGAAATCACCATTAAAGAACTTATCCATGTAATGAAACACCACCTGTTTTCCCAAAACTATAGAAATAATAATAATAACTACAACAACTTTTCAAGACATAGTACAATAAGATAAAAACAAAAAAAAAGAAGGGGGAAAAATAACACATAGAGTTTCTATTAGTTTTATTTTTTTGCTTTCTTGTTTGTTTTTTAATGCAAATAATGTTGTTATCCGCTTAATATAATGGGTTATCTGGTAGTATTTGCAAGCCTCATGGTAACCTCACACCAAAAAACTTACAATAGATAAACAAAAAATAAAAAAACAAGAAACTAAATCATATCACCAGAGAAAATGATCCTTACTAAAGGAAGACAGGAAGGAAGGAAAGAAGGAAGAGAACACAAAACAAACAGGAAACAAATAAAAATATGGCAGATGTAAGTCCTTACTTATCAAGAATAACATTGAATATAAATTGAGTAAATTCTGCAATCAAAAGACATAAAGTAGCTGAATGGATGAAAAAACAAGATCCACTGATATGCTGCATACAAGAAACACACTTCACCTATACAGACACAAATACATTGAAAATAAATGAATGGAAAAAGATATTCCATGCCAATGGAAACCAAAAAAGAGCAGAAGTGCTATACTTATATCAGACAAAGATTTCAAGGCAAAAATTCTAAGAGACAAAGATGGTCATTATATAATGATAAAGGGGTCAATTCAACAAGAGGATGTAACAATTGTAAATATACATGCACCCAACACTGGAACATCCAGATACATAAAGAAAATACTAGAGCAAAAGTGAGAGAGGTCCCAGAACAATAATAGCTGGAGACTTTAGCACCCCACTTTCAGCATTGAACATATCTTCCAGACAGAAAATCAACCAAGAAATGTCAGACTTAATCTACACTATAGACCAAAAGAATCTAATACATATTTATGGAACATTTTATCCAATGGCTACAGAATATACTTTATTTTCCTCAGCACATGGATTATTCTCAAAATGGGCCATATGTTAGGTCACAAAACAAGCTTTAAAACCTTCAAAAAATGAAATAATATCAAGCATTTTCTCTGACCACAATGTAATAAAACTAGAAATCAGTAACAAGAGGAATTTTGGAAACTATACAAATACGTGGAAATTAAACAACATGCTTCTGAATGAACAGTGGGCCAATGAAAAATTAAGAAGGAAGTTGAAACATTTCTTTAAGCAAATGATAATGAAAATATAAAATACTGAAACCTATGGGATATAGCAAAAGCAGTGTATTAAGAGGAAAGTTTATAGCTATAAGTGCCTACATCAAAACAGAGGAAAAACTTCAAATGAACAAACTAGAAAAGCAAGATCAAACCAAACCCAAAATTAGTATGAGAAAATAAATAATAAATATCAGAGCTGAAATAAATGAAATGAAGAAAACAATGTAAAAGATTTTTTTCTTTTTTAATTTTAAGTTCTGAGGTACATGAGCAGGTTTGTTACGTAGGTAAACTCTTATCCTGTGGGTTTGTTGTACGGATATTTAATCACCCGGGTATTAAGCCTACTACCCATTAGTTATTTTTCCTGATCCTCTCCTTCTTCCCATCCTACACCTCAGGTAGGCCCCAGTGTCTGTTGTTCCCCTCTATGTGTTCATGTGTTCTCATCACTTAGCTCCCACTGATAAGTGAGAACATACAGTATTTGGTTTTCTGTTCCTGCATTAGTTTGCTAAGTATAGTGGCCTCCAGCTCCACCCATGTTCTTGCACAGGATATGATCTTGTTCCTTTTTATGGCTACACAGTATCACATGGTATATATGTGCCACATTTTTTTATCCAGTCTGCCATTTGTGGGCATTTAAGTTAATTCCATGTTTTTTCTATTGTAAATACTGCTGCAATAAACACATGAGTGCACACGTCTTTACGATAGAATGATTTATATTCCTTTGGTAATACACCTAGTAGTAATGAAATTGTCAGGTCAAATGGTATTTTGGTTTCACCTCTTTGAGGAATCACTACACACTGCTTTCCACAAGCATTGAACTAATTTACATTCCCATCATCATTGTAAAAGTGTTCTGTTTTCTCTGCAACATAACCAGCATCTGTTATTTTTTGACTTTTTAGTCATAGCAATTCTGACTGGTGTGAGATGGTATCTCGTTTTGATTTGCATTTCCCTAATGATTGTGGATGTTGAGCTTTTTTTCATATGCTTGTTGGCCACATGTACCACCAAACTTTTAAAGAACAACTAATACCAGTCCTACTCAAATAGTTCTGAAAAATAGAGACTAGAATACTTCCAAATGCATTCTATGAGGCCAGTGTTACCCTGATAGCAAAACCAGACAAATATGAATCAAAAAAAGAAATCTACAAGCCAATATCTCTAATGAATATTGATGCAAAAATTCTCAACAAAACACTAACAAGCCAAATTCAACAATACTTTAAAATAGCATTCATTATGACCAAGTGGGATTTCTTCCAGGGATGCAAGGATGGCTAAACATATGCAGTGTGATACATTATATCTACAGAATGAAGGACAAAAATGATATGATCATTTCAATTCATGCTAAAAAGGCATTTGATAAAACTCAATATCACAACTAAAAGAACTAGAGAACCAAGAGGAAGCAAACCCCAAAGCTAGCAGAAGACAAGAAATAACCAAGATCAGACCTGAACTGAAGGAGACAGAGACATGAAAAATCCTTCAAAAAATCAACCAATCTAGAAGCTGGCTTTTTGAAAACATAATAAAATAAATAGGTCACTAGCTAACCTAATAAAGAAAAGAGAGAAGATTCAAAGGAACACAATCAAAAAATGGTAAGGGGGATATCTCCTACCCCACAGAAATAAAAACAACCATCAGAGAATACTATAAACATCTCTATGCAATAAACTAGAAAATCTAGAAGAAATGGAAAAAGTCATGGACACATACACCCTTCCAAGACTGAACCAGAAGAAATTGAATCCCTGAATAGACCAAAAATGAGTTCTGAAACTTAAGCAGTAGTAAATAGCCTACCAACTAAAAAATGCCCAGGCCAGACAGATTCACAGCTTAATTCTACCAGAGGTACAAGGAAGACCTGGTACCATTTCTACTGAAATTGTTCCAAAAAATTGAAAAAGAGGGACTCCTCCCTAACCCATTCTATGAGGCCAACATCATTCTGATACTAAAACCTGGCAGAGATACAACGAAAAAACTTCAGGCCAATATCCCTGCTGAGCACTGATGCAAAACTCCTCAATAAAATACTGGTAAACTGAATCCAGCAGCACATCCAAAAGCTCATCCACCATAGTCAAGTAGGCTTCATCCCCAGTTGCAAGGTGAGTTCAACATATGCAAATCAATCAATGTGATTCATCACATAAACAGAATGAAAGACAAAAAACACAATTATTTCAATCGATGCAGAAAGGGCCTTCAATAAAATTCAACATCCTTCATGTTAAAAACTCTCAGTAAACTAGGTATTGAAGGAACATACCTCAAAATAATAGGAGCCATATATGACAAATCCACAGCCAATATCATACTGAATCGGCAAAAGCTGGAAGCATTCCCCTTGAAAAGCAACACAAGAAAAGGATGTCCTCTCTCACCACTCCTATTCAACATAGTATTGGAAGTTCTGGCCAGGGCAATCGGGCAAGAAAAAGAAATAAAGTGTATTCAAATAGGAAGAGAGGAACTCACTCACTTAAACTTTGTTTGCAGATGACATGATTCTATATTTAGAAAACCCCATTGTCTCAGCCCAAAAGCTTCTTAAGCTGATAGCAACTTCAGCAAAGTTTCAGGATACAAAAATCAATGTGCAAAAATCACTAGCATTCCTATACACCAACAACAGGCAAGCAGAGAGTCAAATCATGACTGAACTCCCGTTCACAATTGCCACAAAAAGAATAAAATGCCTAGAAATACTGCTAACAAAGGAAGTGAAGGATCAAGGAGAATTACCAACCACTGCTCAAAGAAATAAGAGAGGACGCAAACAAATGGAAAAGCATTCCACGCTCATGGATAGGAAGAATCAATATTGCGAAAATGGTCATACTGCCCAAAGTAATTTATACATTCAATGCTATTCCCATTAAACTACTATTGCCATTCTTCACAGAATTAGAAAAAACTATTTAAAAATTCATATGGAACCAAAAAAGAGCCTGAGTAGCCAAGATAATTCTAAGCAAAAAGAACAAAGCTGGCGATATCATGCTACCCAACTTCAAACTATACTACAAGGCTACAGTAACCCAAACAACACAGTACTGGTGGAAGAACAGATACATGGAACAACCGAACAGAATAGAGAACCCAGAAATAAGACCTCACACCTACAATCATCTGAACTTTGACAAAACTGACAAAAAAAAGAAAAACAGCAATGGGAATAGGATTTCCCATTTAGTAAATGGTGCTGGAAGAACTGGCTAGCCATATGCAAAGAATTGATACTGGACCCCTTCCTTACATCTGATACAAAAATTAACTCAAGATGGATTAAAGACTTAAATGTAAAACACCAAAGTATAAAAACCCTAGAAAAAAACCTAGGAAATACCATTCAGGACATAGGTATGGGCAAACATTTCATGGTGAAGATGTCAAAACTAATTGCAACAAAAGCAAACATTGACAAATGTTATCTAATTAAACTAAAGAGTTTTTGCACAGCAAAAGAAACTATCATCAAAGTAAACAGACAACCTAGAGAATGGGAGAAAATTTTTTCAATCTATCCATCTGACAAAGGTCTAATATTCAGCATCTACAATGAACTTAAGCAAATTTACAAAAAATTAAAAGTGGGCAAAGGACATGAACAGACACTTCTCAAAAGAAGACATACATGCTGTCAACATACATGTGGAAAAAAAAGCTTAATATCACTGATCATTAGAGAAATGCAAATAAAAACCACAGTGAGGTACCATCTCATGCCAGTCAGAATGGCTGTTATTAAGAAGTCAAAAAATAACAGAGGCTCAGGAGGAAAAGAAATGCTTTTACACTGTTGGTGGGAATGTAAATTAGTTCAACCATTGTGGAAGACAGTGTAGTAATTCCTCAAAGACCTAGAGGCAAAAATACCATTTGACCCAGTAATTCCATTACTGGATATATATCCAAAAGAATATAAATCATTCTTTTACAAAGATACAAGCATGTGTATGTACATTGCAGCACTATTCACAATAGCAAAGACATGGAATCAACCTAAATACTCATCATTTATAGATTGGATAAAGAAAATGTGGTACATATACACCACGGAATACTATGCAGCCATAAAAAGGAATGAGACCATGTCGCATGCAAGGACATGAATGGAGCTGGAAACCATTATCCTCAGCAAACTAACACAGGAACAGAAAAACAAATACCACATGCTCTCACTTACATGTGGGAACTGAATGATAAGAACACATGGACACACTGGAGGAAACAACATACACTGAGGCCTGTCAGAGGGTGTGGGGTGGAAAGAGAGAGCATCAGGAAGAATAGCTAATGGATTCTGGGCTTAATACCTAGGTGATGGGATGATCTGTGCAGCAAACCACCATGACACACATTTATCTATGTAAAAAACCTGCACATCCTATACATATATCCCTGAACTTAAAATAAAATTGGAAATTTTTAAAAAGTCAATGTTTCTTCATAATAAAATTGCTCAAAAACTGGGTATAGAAGGAACATACCTCAACATAACAAAAGCTATATATGACAGACTCACAGCTAGTATCACACTGAATGGGGAAAAACTGAAGTCTTTCCTCTAAGATCTGGAACATGACTAGGGTGCCCACTTTCACCACTGTTCTTCAACATAGTAATGGAATTTCTAGCTAGAACAATTGGATGGACAAGAGAAAGAAATACAGGGCCTCCAAATTGAAAAGGAAGAAGTCATATTATTTTTGCTTGCAGATGATATGTTCTCATATTTAGAAAAATTAAAAACAATTTAATTTACAAAAATTATTAGATACAAAAAATATTAGATCTGATAAACAAATTCAGTTAAGTTGCAGAATACAAAATCAACATACAAAATTCAGTAACATTTCTATATCCCAACAGTGAACAATCTGGAAAAGAAACAAAAAATGTAATCCCATTTATGACAGCCATGCATAAAATTAAACACTTAGGAACTAACTTAACCAAAGAAGTGAAAGATCTCTACAATAAAAACCACAAAACATTGATGAAAGAAGTTGAAGAATGCTCCAAAAAATGGAAAGATATTCCATGTTCAGGGATTAGAAGAATTGATATTGTTAAAATGCCCATACTACCCAAAGCAAACCTACAGATTCAATGCGATTCGTGTCAAAATACCAATGACATTCTTCACAGAAATAAAAAAAAATCCTAAAGTGTATATGGATTCACAGAAGACCCAGAATAGCCAAAGCTATCCTAAGCAAAAAGAACAAAACTGAGGAATCACATTATCTGACTAAAAATTATACTACAGAGGTATAGTAACCAAAACAGCATGGTACTGCCATAAAAAGACACAGAGACCAATGGAATGGAATAGAGAACCTAGAAACAAATCCCACACACCTACAGTGAACTGATTTTCAACACAAGTGCCAAGAACATACTCCAGGGAAAATACAGTCTTTCAATAAATGGTGTTGGGAAAACTGAATATCAATAGGCAGAAGAATAAAACTAGATCCCTATCTCTCACCTTGTACAAAAATCAAATAAAAACAAAGACTTAATTCTAAGACCTCAAACAATAAAACTACTACAAGAAGACATTGGGGAAACTCTCTAGGACATTGGTCTAGGGAAAGATTTCTTGGGTACTACCCACAAGCACAGGAAACCAAAGTAAAAATGGACAAATGGGATCACAAATTAAAAAGCATCTTCACAGTAAAGGAAACAAACAGCAGAGTGAAGAGACAACCCACAGAATGGAAGAAAATATTTGCAAAGTGTTCATCTGACAAGGTATTCACTACCAGAATATATAAGGAGCTCAAACAACTCTGTAGGAAAAAAAACCTAATAACTCAATTAAAAATGGGCAAAACATCTGAATAGACACTTCTCAAAATAAAACATACAAATGGCAAACTGGCCTATAAAAAGGTGCTCAACGTCATTAATCATTAGGGTAATACAAATGAAAACTACAATGAGATATCATCTCATCCCATTTAAAATGGCTTATATCCAAAAGACAGGCAATAACAAATGCTGGTAAGGATATGGAGAAAAGGGAACATTTGTACACTGTTTGTGGAATTGAAAATTAATATAACCACTATGGCGAGTAGTTTGGAGGATCAAAAAAAAAAACTAAAAATTGAGCTACTATATGATCCAGCAATCCCACTGCTGGGTACATACCCAAAAGAAAGGAAATCTTTATATCAAAGAGATATCTGTACTCTCATGTTTGTTGTAGCACTGTTCATAATATCCAAGAATTAGAAGCAACCTAAATGTCCATTAATAGATGAATTAATAAAGAAAATGTGGGACATATACACAATGAAGTACTATTCAGCCATTAAAAAATGAGATCTTGTCATTTGCAACAAGATGGATGGAACTGGAGGTTATTATGTTAAGTAAAATAAGTCAGACACAGAAAGACATACATCACATGTTCTCACTTATTTCTGAGATCTAAAAATCAAAACAATTGAACTCATGGAGATAAACAGTAGAAGGATGGTTACCAGAGGCTGGGAAGGGTAGTGGGTGGTGGAAAGGAGATAGGTTAATGGGTACGAAATGTAGAAAGAATGAGTAAGACCTACTAATTGATAGCACAACAGGATGGCTATAGTCAATAACAATTTAATTGTACACTTTGAAATAACTAAAAGAGCATAATTGGATTGTTTGTAACACAAGGCATAAATGCTTGAGGGTATGGACACCCCATTTGCCATGATATGATTATTATGCATTGCATGCCTATATCAAAACATTGTACCCCTTAAATATATACAACTATCATGTACCCACAAAAATTAAAAATAGAAAGGAAGAGAGGTAGAGAGTGAAGTCTGGGGGAGTCTCAAACATGAAACTTCCTTGTTCTTTCCCCATGCAGTCAGTATGCACTACCTTCCCAGCATCTGAGTGTGACAATATGCAGTATATTGGCAACCAGGAAAGCTCAATCGAGCTTCAGTGTCTAGCATTTTTAGTAAGGTTTTATTATGTACGGATGACAGACTGAATCATTACCCATGTGACTGAACTCAGTCTCTAGCCACTTTCCCTTTGCAAAAGTCAGGCTGATACTATGTTGCTCAAAGCCCCACCCCTCTAATCATCTCCATTCTGAGTCACATCGTTGGCATAAACAATCAGCCCATATTAGCTTGCTAAGGCTGCTGTAACAAACTGTCACAAATTGGGTCAATTAAACAATAGAAATTTATTTTCTAACAGTTCTGGAGGCTAGAGGTCTGAGATCAATGTGTCAAAAGCAATGGTTCCTCTGAGGGTTGTGATGGATAATCTTTCACATGCTTTCAATTCATGAATATCTCAACAGAGAAATGAGAAATCACAGCAGAGATGTAAAAATAATTTTTAAGATGGAAATTCTAGAACCAAAATAATTTTTGAAATAAAAAATTATGAATTAGACATAATAGTTGAATAAGGAAGAAGAGAAGTGATAATTTAAAGATATGTCATTAGAAAAAGTTGGAAAAAAACATAGCATCAGTTATCTTATAGATGAAATCCAACAGTCAAATGTATATGTAGCTGTAATTACTAAAAGGAGAAGAAAGACCAATTAAAAAGTTTGCAAGGAAATAATGACTGAAATATTTCCAAATTTGATAAAAGGCAAAAGTTTACAGATTCAAGGTTCTCAATAAGCAACAAAGAGAAAAACACAAAGAAGCCCACACTGAAGCACGTTATATTTAAATATGGAAGGGTGAAGACAAAGAGGAAACCTTAAAGTCAGTAATAGAAAAACAGCATATTGTCTACAGAAGCAGCATTCTGATCAACAGCTGATTTCTCATCATAAAACCTATAGATGAGAAGAAAGTGGAACATTCTTAAAATACTGGAAAAAAAAAAGCTCAGCATTTTACCTATATCCAGCAAAAATATCATTCAGTAATGAAGGCAAAATAAGGACTTTTTCAGATAAACAAAATATAAGAGGATTCATAGTTACACTCAATAAATGTTAAAGTTCTTCTGGCTAAAAGGAAAAGAATCCTGATGAAAGTGTGTCCTCAGCAAAAATTGCAGAGCATCAGAAATTGACATCTGCGTAAATGCAAAAACAAACAAAATATATTTTTTTATTTTCGTCTTAAAATTATGTAATCCATATGTTAGGAACTGAATGTTTGTATCCTCCAAAATTCATACACTGAAATTCTCACCCCACCCCAGTGTGATAGTATTAGGAAGTGGAGATTTGGGGAGGTAATTATTAGCTCATGAGGGTGGAGCCCTCATGAATAGCATTAGTGCCCTTGTAAGAAGACAATGATCTCTCTTTCTCAGCTATGTAACGGTACAATGAGAAGACAGCCATCTACAGAAAGATAGGCCCTCACCAGACACTGACCCTGTTGGCACCTTGACCTTTGGATTCCCAGACTCCAAAATTGCAAGTAATGTATGTTTGCTGTTTAAGCTGACCAGCCTATAGTATTCCATTATAGCAGCCCAAACTGACTAAGACATCATATAACTGTTTATAATTTTATTATAACATTGTCTTATAAAATTTATAATATATGTTGGTGTACCACATATACAATTATATCATAAGAGATAGAGAGATGAATTTACTAAGTGGTAAGATTTCTATTTTTTATGTGCAGTAGTGCATTGTAATTATATACTGTGAAAGTTATGAATGTATATTGAAATCTCTAAAGCACCCCTATAAAATGAAATTATAAACAATAACTAAAATTCAACAGGAAAATTAAGATAAAATCTAAAAAATAATAGAATAATACAAAACGGGGGCAGGAAAGGAAAACCAAAACACAGAAGTAAATGGTTGGAACTGTTGGAAAGAAAGACATAAGCTATGTATTTTCAGATGGCATGATTATGATCTTGTTTAAAAGATACTGAAAATAAAAATTAGAAATAATATATAAATTCAATAAGGTTACAAAATACAGGATTAATATATAAAATAAGTTGTATTCCTATACATTAGAAAAGAAAACCTGAAATGAAATTACAAAAACAATCCATTTACAATAGCACCAAACAGAACAAAATACTTAGATATAAATTTAACAAAAGGAGTGCAAGACTTGTACACTAAAAACTACAAAACATTGTTGAAAGAAATTAAAGAAAACTTAAATAAGTGAAAAGATATCCCATGTCCACGGTTTGGAAGACTTACTATTGTTAGAAATCATACTGCCCGCTATGGACTAAATTACGTTCTACCAAAATTTATATGTGGAAGTTTTAACCTGCAATGTGACTTTATGTGGAAATACAGTCTTTAGGAGGTAATTAAGGTTAAGTAAGATCATAAGAGTAGAGCCCAAATCCAATAGGACTGTGGCCTTAGTTTTCTAAGAGAGAAAGAGGGAGATCTTTTTCTCTACCACATGAGAACACAATAAGAAGATCGCCATCTGCAACCCAAGAAGAAAGCCCTCACCAGACATTGAGTCCACTGACACCTTCATCTTGGATTTCCACTCTCTAGAATGTGAAAAATAAATTCCTGTTTTTTAAGCCACACAGTCTATGATATTTGGTTACAGCAGCCTGAGCAAACTAAGATACTATTCAAACTGATCTACAGATTCACTTCAATCCCTGTCAGAATCCCAGCTGACTTTTTTCAGAAACAGGAAAGTTGATATAGCATAGACAAAATAATCTTTAAAAAGAAAAAAAAACTGAAGGACTCACATTACCCAATTATAAAACTTAGTACAAAATAACAATAATAAAGATAGTGTGGTACTAACATAAAAATAGATACATTTATCAATGGAATAGAATTAGGAGTCCAAAAGTCAATGTATACATCTATGGTCAACTGATTTTCAACAAGGTTGTCAAGATCATTCGATGGGGAAAGAATAGTCTTTTTAACAAATGATGTTGGTACAACCAGATAGCTAGATGCAGAAAGTAAAATAAAATAGGACCCTTATTTCACCCCACATGCAAAAATTAACTCAAAGTGGATCAAACACATTGTGTAAAAGTCAAAACTATAAAACTCTTAGAAGAATACATAGGTGTAAATCTTTATGATTTTAAATTAGGCAGTGGTTTCTTAGGTGGGACCAAAGCCTTCATTCAGAAAAAAACTTTCATTCTGAAAACACTACCATCAGGAAAGTGAAAAGATGGCCCACAAAATGGGAGAAATATTTACAAGTTATATCATTGATAAGGACCTAGTATCTAGGATATGTATTTTTTAATTCAAGTTCAATAATGAAGAGATAAATAGCCCAATTTTAAAGATGGCAAAAAAAGAAATGGATGAATTCCTAGAAACCTGCAACCTGCCAAGACTGAATCAGGAAGAAATAGAAATCTAAACGGACCAATAACAAATAAAGAGACTGAATCAATAATAAAAATGTTCCCATCAAAGAAAAACACAGGACCCCAAAGCCTTCACTGTTAATTTCTGCTAAACATTTCAAGAAGAACTAATACCAATGTTTCTCAAATGCTTCCCAAAAATTGAAGAGGAGGGAATATTTTCAAATTTATTTTATGTGGTCAGCATTATCCTGATACCAAAGCCAGATAAGGATACTACAAGAAAGAAAACTACAGGCCAATATACTGATGAAGACAGATTCAAAAATTCTCAACAACCAAAAAAAAGCTAGCAAACTAAATTCATCAGGACGTTACCAACATCATTTACCATTATCAAGCATAATTTATCCCAGGGATGAAGAGATGCTTCAACATATGTAAATCAATAAATGTGATATGATATCAACAAAGTAGAAAAAGAATTTGATAAAAATTCAACAACTGTTTATATTTTAAAAACTCTCAAAAAATAGGTAGAGAAGAATGTACCTCAACATAATATAAGTCATGTATGACAAGCCCACAGCTATCATACTCAATGCTGAAAGGTTAAAAGCTTTTCTTCTAAGATCAAGAACAATACAAAGATGCCCACGCTTGCCACTGCTAATTAACATAGTACTGGAAGTCCTAGCCAAAACAATTAGACAAGAAAAAGAAATAAAAAGCATTCACACAGAAAAAGAAAAAGTAAAATTATCTTTTTTTGCTGATGACATGACCTTTTATGAAGAAAACTCTAAAGATTCCCCCAAAAACCTATAAGAACTGATAAACAAATTCAATAAAGTTTCAGATTACAAAATCAACATACAAAAGTCAGTAGTTGCCATGCACGGTGGCTCATGCCTGTAATCCCAGCACTTTGGGAGGCCAAGGAGGGTGGATCACCTGAGGTCAGGAGTTTGAGACCAGCCTGACCAACATGGTGAAACCCCATCTCTACTAAATAATACAAAAATTAGCCAGGCCTGGTGGCGAGCACCTGTAATCCCAGCTACTCAGGAGGTTGAGGCAGGAGAATCACTTGAACCCAGGAGGCAGAGTTTGCAGTGAGCCAAGATTGCACCATTGCACTCTAGCCTAGGTGACAGAGCAAGACTCCATCTAAAAAAATAATAATAATTAAAAAAAGATAAAGTCAGTAGTCAGAATCAACTTCTAGACATACACTTTCAGATGATTTTAGCCCCCAGCCTTTAAGCCACCCAGATGACATCAAAGGGAACACAAGCAAGCTATCCATACTGAGTCCTACCAAAATTATAGATTCATGAGTAAAATAAATGCTGTCATTATTTTAAGCCAAAAAATTTGGGATCGTTTGTTATGCAACCGTAGTAACTGCAGCACTGTCAAAATAAAAAACAATTCTGAAACTCAAGACACCATTAAGAAACTGAATTGATAATCCACAGATTAGAAACAAATACTTACAATACAAATATCTTACAAAGGATATGTATCCATCATACATAAAGAATGCTTACAAATTAAAATTTTGAAAACCATTAGCCCTATAAAAATAGGCAAAAGACTTAAAAAGATAACTCACAAAATAAGAGATACAAAACACCAATTAAGTATGAAAAGTGCTCAACATAATCCTGAAACTGCAAATTAAAAACATAATTTCACACCTACTAGCAGGATTAAAATGATAATGCCAAATGAAGATAATATGCAGTAAAACCCTCATATATTGCTGGGTGGAAGTACAAAATGGTACAACCACTTTGGAGAACTGTTTGGCTATTTTTTATACAGTTAAATAGACATCTACCCTAAGACCCAGAAATTTCACTACTTATTTACACAAGAAAAATGAAAGCATGTTTCCAAAAAAAGACTTGTACGTGAATGTTCATAACATTTTTATTCATAATAGTAAAAAACTGGAAACTACTCAACTATCTGAATATAGGAGAATAGAAAAACAAGTTGGGGCATATCCATACAATGAAATACAACTTAACAGTATATATTAAGGATAAACTGGCTGAGTGTGGTGGCTCATTCCTGTAATCCCAGCACTTTGGGAGGCCAAGGCAGGTGGATCACTTGAGGCCAGAAGTTTTAGACCAGCTGGGCCAATATGGTGAAACTCTGACTCTACTAAAAATAAAAAATAAAATAGCCAGGTATGGTGGAACCTGCCTGCAGTCCCAGTTACATGGGAGGTTGAGGCATGAGAATCACTTGGACCTAGGAGGCAGAGTCTGCAGTGAGCTGAGATCATGCCACTGCATTCCAGCCTGGGTGACAGAGCAAGACTGCGTCTCAAAATTAAAAAAAAAAAAGAGAGAGAAAGAAAAAAGAATAAACTATTGAGTCATGCAACAACAACAACAAAAATGTCAGTAGTGTTTCTATACACTAACAGTGAACTATCCAAAGAATTTTTAAAATCTCAATTACAATAGCATCAAAAAATAAATAACATACTTAGGAGTAAATTTAGCCATAGAGCTGAAAGATTTGTATACTTAAAATGATAAAACATTGATGAAAGAAATTGAAGATAGAAGTAAAAAGAAATATAGTTCATGTTCATGGATTGGAAGAATTAATATTGTTAAAATGTCTACACTAACCAAAGTAATCTGCATATTTAATGCAATTTGTATTGGAATTCCATGTCATTTTTCACAGAAATGGAAAAAACAATCCTAAAATTTATACGGAGTTACAAAAGACTGTAAACGCCCAAAGCAATCTTGAGCAAAAAGAACAATGCTGGAAGGATCACACTGACAGATTTCAAAATATATTACAAACCTACTGTAATCAAAACAGCATGCTATTGGAATTTAAAAAAGGCATTTTGACCGAGGGAACAGGATAGAAAGCCCAGATATAAACTTAAATATTTGCAGTTAATTGATTTTCAACAAAGGTGCCAAGAACACACCATAGGGAAAGAACAGTCTCTTCAATAAATGGTGTAGAGAAACTGGACATCCACATGCAGAAGAATGAAATTGGACCCTTATTTCATACCATATACAAAAATTAACTTAAAATGAATAAGAGACTGAAACATAAGGCTTAAAACTGTAAAGCTACTGAAAGAAAACAGAAGGGTAAAACTTCATGACATTGAGCTGGTTAATGACTTCTTGGATAGGACTCCAAAAGTACATGAAACAGAAGCAAAAATATACAAACGGGATTGTATCAAACTAAAAAGCTTCTGCACAACAAAGGAAACAACAGAATAAAGAGACAACCCACAGATTGGGAGAAAATATTTACAAACCATACATCTGATAAAGAACCAATATAAAAAAACACACAAGAATCTCAAACAACTCAATGGATAAAAAAGCAAAACCCAACTAAAAAATGAGCAAAGAGTCTGAACAGACATTTCTCAAAAGAAGAGATATGAATAGCCAACAGATATATGAAAAATGCTCAATATCATTAGTCATCAGGGAAATGCAAATTAAAACCACAATGAGATATCACCTCACATCTTTTAGAATGGTTATTACTCAAAAAGACAAATGATAACAAATGTTGAAAAGAATGTGGAGAAAATAAAACCCTTGTGCACTGTTGGTGAGAATATAAATTATTATAGGCATTTTGGAAAGTAGTATGGAAGTTCTTCAAAAAACTAAAAATGGAATATTCATATGATCCAGCAATTCCATTTCTGGGTATGTACCTGAATTAGTCTGTTCTCACTCTGCTAATAGAGACATACCCAAGACTGGGTAATCTATAAAGAAAAAGAGGCTTAATGGACTCACAGTTCCACATGGCTGGGGAGTCCTCACAATCACAGTGGAGGGCAAAGGGGAAGCAAGACATGTCTTGCATGGTGGCAGGCAGGAGGGAGCATGTGCAGGGGAACTCTCATTTATAAAACCATCAGATCTCATGACACTTATTCACTACCACAAGAAAAGTATAGGGAAAACCACTCCCATGATTCACTAATCTTCACCTGGCCCCACCCTTGACATGTGGGGATGATTACAATTCAAGATAAGATTTGGGTGGGAACACAGCAAACCATATTATTCTGCAACTGTCCCCTCTCAAATCTCATGTCCTCAGGTTTTGAAACTAATAATGCCTTCCCAACAGTTCCTCAAAGTAATAATTCATTTCAGCATTAACTCAAAAGTCCACAGTCCAAAGTCTTATCTGAGACATGGCAAGTCCCTTCAGCCTATGAGCCTGCAAAATCAAAAGCAAGTTAGTTACTTCCTAGATACAGTAGGGACATAAGCATTGGATAAATACACTCATTCCAAATGGGAGAAATTATCCAAAACACAGGGACTGCAGGTCCCATATGAGTCCGAAGTCCAGTGGGGCAATCAAATCTTAAAGCTGCAAAATTATCTCCTTTGCCTCCATATCTCACATCTAGGTCATGCTGATGCAAGTGGTGGGCTCCTGTGGCCTTGGGCAGCTCTGCCCCTGTGGCTTTGCAGGGTACAGCTCCTCTCCTGGCTGCTTTCACAGGCTGGCATTGAGTGTCTGTGGTTTTTCCAGGTACACAGGCAAGCTGTCAGTGGATCTACCATTCTGGGGTCCGTAGGACAGTGGCCTCTTCTCACAGCTCCACTAGGCAGTGCCCCAGTCAGGACTCTTGTGTGGGGGCTTCAACCCCATGTTTCCCTTCCACACTGCCCTAGCAGAGATTCTCCATGAGAGCTCTGTCACTGCAGAAAACTTCTGCCTGGATATCCAGGCATTTCCATACATCCTCTGAAATCTAGGCGGAAGTTCCAAAACTTTAATTCTTGACTTCTGTGCACCTGCACACCTAGTACCATGTAAGCCAATGATATGGTTTGGCAGTGTCCTCATCCCAATCTTATCTTTAATTGTAGCTCCCATAATTCCCATGTGTTGTGGGAGGGACCCACTGGGAGAAAATTGAATCATGGGGGCAGTTTCCCTCATACTGTTTGCATAGTAGTGAATAAGTCTCATGAGGTCTGATGGTTTTATAAAGGGAAACCCCCTTCACTTGGTTCCCATTCTCTCTTGCCTGCCACCATGTAAGACATGCCTTTCATCTTCTGCCATGATTGTAAGGCCTCCCCAGCCACGTGGAACTGTGAGTCTATTAAATTTCTTTTTAAAAAATAATAATAAATTACCCAGTCTCAGGTATGTCTTTATCAGTAGCATGAGAACAGACTAATACAGTAAATTGGTAATGGTAGAGTGGGGTGCTGCTGTTAAGATACCCAAAAATGTGGAAGTGACTTTAGAACTGAGTAACAGAGGTTGGAGCAGGTTGGAGGGCTAAGAAGAAGACAGGAAGATGTGGGAAAGTTTGAAACTTCCTAGAGACTTGTTGAATGGCTTTGACCAAAATGCTGATAGTGATATAGATAATAAGGTCCAGGCTGAGGCAGTCTCAGATGGAGATGAGGAGCTAGTTGGGAACTGGAGTAAAGGTGACTCTTGCTATGTTTTAGCAAAGAGACTGGTGGCATTTTCCCCCTGCCCTGGAGATCTGTGGAACTTTGAACTTGAGGGAGATTATTTAGGGTATCTGGCAGGAGAAATTTCTGAGCAGCAAAGCATTCAAGACATGACTTGGTGCTGTTAAAAGCATTCAGTTTTAAAAAGGGAAACAGCATAAAATTTTGGAAAATTTCCAGCCTGGCAATGTGATAGAAAAGAAAAACCCCATTTTCTGAGGAGAAATTCAAGCCAGCTGCAGAAATTTGCATAAGTAATGAGGAGCCAAATGTTAATCCCCAAGACAATGGGGAAAATGTCTCCAAGGCATGTCAAAGGTCTTCATGGCAGCTTGTCCAATCAAGAGGCCCAAAGGCCTAGGAGGAAAAAATGGTTTCATGGGCCAGACCCAGGGCCACCCTGCTGTGTGCAGCCTAGGGACTTGGTGTCCTGCATCCCAAATGCTCTAGCCATGGCTAATAGGGGTCAAGATACAGCTCAGGCCATGGTTTCAGAAGGTTCAAGTACCAAGCCTTGGCAGCTTCCATGTGTTGTTGAGCCTGCCAGTGCACAGAAGTCAAGAATTTAGGTTTGGGAACATGCACCTAAATCTCAGAGGATGCATGGAAATGCCTGGATGTCCAGGCAGAAGTTGGCTACAGGGGTGAGCACAGAAGTCAAGAATTTAGGTTTGGGAACCTGCACCTAGATCTCAGAGGATGTAGGGAAATGCCTGGATGTCCAGGCAGAAGTTTGCTACAGGGGTGGGACCCTCATGGAGAACCTCCACTAGGGCAGTGTGGAAAGGGAATGTAGGGTTGAAGCCCATACACAGAGTCCCAACTGGGGCACTGCCTAGTGGTGCTGTGAGAAGAGGGCCACCATCCTCCAGATCCCAAATGGTAGATCTACTGACAGCTTGCAGCGTGCACCTGGAAAAGCAATAGACACTCAATGCCAGCCCATGAAAGCAGCCAGGAGGAGAGGTGTACCCTGCAAAGCCACAGGCACAGAGCTACCCAAGGCCATAGGTGCCCACCTCTTACATCAGCATGACCTGGATATGAGACATGGAGCCAAAGAAGATCGTTTCAGAGCTTTAAGATATGACTGCCCCACTGAATTTTAGACTTCCATGGGGCCTGCAGCCCCCTTTGTTTTGCCCAATTTCTCCCATTTGGAATGGCTGTATTTACCCAATGCCTGTACCCCCACTGTATCTAGGAAGTAACTAATTTCCTTTTGATTTTACAGGCTCATAGAGGTGAAAGGGACTTGCCTTGCTTCAGATGAGACTTTGGACTGTGGACTTTGAGTTAATGCTGACATGAGTTAAGACTTTGGGGGGCTGTTGGGAAGGCATGATTGGTTTTGAAATGTGAGGACATGAGATTTAGGAGGGGCCAGATACAAAATAAATATGGTTTGGTTGTGTCCTCACCCAAACCTTATCTTTAACTGTAGCTCCCATAATTCCTATGTGTTGTGGGAGGAACCTGGTGGGAGATAATTGAATCATGCGAGCAGTTCCTTCATACTGTTCTTGTGGTAGTGAATAAGTCTTATGAGATCGGATGATGGTTTTATAAGGGGAAGCTCCTTTCCTTGGTTCTCATTCTGTCTTGCCTGCCACTATGTAAGGCATGCTTTTCACCTTCCACCATGATTATGAGGCTTCCCCAGCCACGAGGAACTGTAAGTCCATTAAACCTTTTTCTTTATAAATTACCCAGTCTCGGGTATGTCTTTATCAGCAGCATGAAAACAGACTAATACAGCCACCAAGGCTTGGGACTTGTAACATCTGAAAGCCTGAGCTGTACGTTGACCCCTTATAGCCATAGCTGGTGCAACTGGGACACAGGGCATCAGGTCCTGATGCAGCACACAGGAGGGGGCCCCTGGGTCCAGCCATGGAAGCCATTTTTTCCTCCTAGATCTCTGGGCTGGTGATGGGAGGAGCTGCCACAAAAGTCTCTGACATGCCCTGGAGACATTTTCCCCATTGTCTTGGAGATTAACATTTGGCTCCTCATTACTCATGCAAATTTCTGCAGCAGGCTTGAATTTCTCCCCAGAAAATAAGGCTTTCTTTTCTATTGCATCATCAGGCTGCAAATTTTCCAAACTTTCCTGCTCTGCTTCCTCTTGAATGCTTCACTGCTTAGAAATTTATTCCCTGGGATGCCCTAAATCATCTCTCTCAAGATCAAAGTTCCACAGATCTCTAGGACAGGGGCAAAAGGCCACCAGTCTCTTTGCTAAAACCTAACAAGCATCAACTTTATTCCAGTTCCCAACAAGCTCCTCATCTCCATCTGAGACCACCTTGGCCTGGGCCTTATTGTCCATATCACTATCAGCATTTTTGTCAAAAACATTCAACAAGTCTCTAGGAAGTTCCAAACTTTCCCACATTTTCCTGTCTTCTTTTGAGCCCTCCAAACTATTTCAATCTCTGCCTGTCACCCAGTTTCAAAGTCACTTCCATACTTGTTGAGTATCTTATCAGCAGCACCCTACTCTACTGGTACCAAGGTACTGTATTAGTCTGTTCTCATGATACTGATAAAGACATACCTGAAACTGGGTACTCTATAAAGGAAAGAGGATTAATTGACTCACAGTTTTACATGACTGGGGAGGCCTCACAATCATGACAGAAGGAGAATGAGGAACAGAGTAAGGTGTTACATGGCAGCAGGCAAGAGAGCTTGTGCAGAGGAACTCCCATTTATAAAACTATGAGATCTTGTGAGACTTATTCACTACCACAAGAACAGCATGGGGGAAACTGTCCCCATGTTTCAATTATCTCCACCTGGCCTTGCCCTTGACACAAGAGGATTAATACAATTCAAGGTGAGATTTGGGTGGGAACACAGCCAAACCATATCAGTATCCAAAGGAAATAAAACTGATATGTTGAAGAGGTATCTGCACTCCCATTTTCAGCATTATTCATAATAGCCAATATATGGAATCAACTTAAGATTCCACCAACACATGAACGGACAAAGAAAATATGATATATATACACAATGGAATACTAAACAGCTTCTAAAAAGAAAGAAATTCTATCATTTGCAACAACATGGATGGTACAGGAAGACATTATTTTAAGTAAAATAAGCCAGACACAGAAAGACATATACTACATGATCTTACACATATGTGGAATCTAAAAAAATCAATCTCATAAAAACAGAGAGTAGAAGGGTGGTTACCTGAGGCTAAGGGTAAGAGGGAGAAAGCAAGAAAGGGAAGATGTTGTTCAAAGGATACAAAGTTTTAGTTAGATTCGAAAAATAAGTTTCAGTAATATATTAAACTGCATAGTGACCACAGTTAGTAATAATGTGTGGTATATTTCAAAATTGCTTACCTAGATTTTTAATGTTCTCACCAAAAAAAGCAATAAATATGTGAGTTCATGGATACATTAATTACCTTAATTGAACATTTCTGTAATGTACACATAGATCAAAACATCACACTGTACCTGATAAATCTACATAATTATTAGTGAATTAATAATTTTCCCTCCAAAATTTTAAGTGTGCAAAGAATCTGAATAAACATTTTTCCAAAGCATATATACAAATGGCCAATAAATACATGAAAAGATGCCCACCATCATTAGTCACTAAGGGAATGCAAATCGAAATCACATTTAGAAACCACTTAACACTTCTCAGGATGGCTATAATCAAAAAGACAGACAATAACAAATGTTAACAAGGATACAGGGAAATTAGAACTCTCATACACTGTTAGTGGGGATGTAAAATTGTGTAGCCACTTTGGGAAACAATTTGGCAGTTCCTCAAAAAGTTTAGAGTTACCACATGACCGAGTAATTCTATTTCTAAGTATGTACCACATTTTCTTTATCCAGTCTATCATTGATGGGCATTTAGGTTGATTCCATATCTTTGCTATTGTGAATAGTGCTGTAATGAACATACACATGCATGTGTCTTTATAACAGAATGATTTACATTCCTTTAGGTATATATCCGGTAATGGGATTTCTGGATCAAATGGTGTTTCTGTCTTTAGGTCTTTGAAGAATTGCCACACTGTCTTCAACAATGACTGAACTAATTTACACTCCCACCAACAGTGTAAAATCACTTTCTTTTCTCCACAACCTCACCAGCATCTGTTTTTTTTGTGACTTTTTAGTAATAGCCATTCAGACTGGTGTGAGGTGATATCTCATTATGGTTTTGATTTACATTTCTCTAATGATCAGTGATGAACTTTTTTTCATATGATTGTTGGCCATATGTACGTCTTTTTTTGAAAAGTATCTGTCCATGTCCTTTGTCCACTTTTTTATGGGGTTGTTTGTTTGTTTCTTATAAATTTGTTTAAGTTCCTTATACATGCTGGATATTAGACCTTTGTCAGATGTATAGTTTGCAAAATATTTCTCCCATTCTTCAGGTTATCTGTTTATTCTGTTGAGAGTTTCTTTTGCTGTGCAGAAGCTCTTTAGTTTAATTAGATCTCATTTGTCAATTTTTGTTCTTGTTACAATTGCTTTTGGCATCTTTGTCATGAAATCTTTGTCAGTGCCTATGTCCTGAATGGTATCGCTTATGTTGTCTTCCAGGTTTTTATAGTTTTGGGTTTTTCATTTAAGTCTTTAATCCATCTTGAGATGCAGAAAAGGCTTTTGATAAAATTCAACATCCCTTCATGTTAAAAACTCTCAGTAAACTATATATTGAAGGAACATACCTCAAAAGAATAAGAGCCATCTATTACAAACCCACAGAGAACATCACACTGAAATGAGCAAAAGCTGGAAGCATTTACCTTGAAAACTAGCACAAGACAAGGATGCCCTCACTCACCATTCCTATTCAGCATAGTATTGGAATTTCTGGCCAGGGCAATGAGGCAAGAGAGAAATAAAGTGCATTCAAATAGGAAGAGAGGAAGCCAAACTATCTTTGTTTGCAGATGACATTATTCTATATGTAGAAAACCCCATCATCTCAGCACAAAAGCTTCTTAACCTGATAAGCAACTTCAGCAAAGTCTCAGGATACTAAATCAATGTACAAAAATCGCTAGTACTTCTTTTTTTTAATGTGACTTGCTTTATTGCGATATTTGCTTTATTGTGGTGGTCTGGAATTGAACCCACAATATCTCCAAGGTGCCTACATTAGTATACCTACATTAGTAATACCTACGTTAGTGTATACTTAGTATAATTGGCCTTTGTATTAATATGCAAATAGTATTGACACTTAAATGCTCCGAAAAGGTCTCTGTAGAGAACTCTTTGAGAACTGCCATCTAGAGGAAAGGATGGGCTGCATATCCACCAGATAATTTTACATGCATATTTTATATATTTTATATATATTTATTTATTTCTATAAAACTGCATGTGAATCCACGATGGTCTCAAAATATAAAATTTAATTTAAAAGATCCATTATATTTGCTATCTGACCCTTAAAAATTATATATATATAAAATTATATTTTATGTAAATATAATTAATATAATATATAAATTAAATATATAATATAAATAATTTTTAAGGGTCAGATAGCAAATAATGGATTTTTAAAATTAAATTTTATATTTTGAGACCATCACAGATTCATATGCATTTTAAAAAAATAATAGGAAGAGATCCTGTGCATTCTTTGCCTGGTTTCCTTCAATAGTAACATCTTCCAAAACTACAGTACAATAGCACAACCAGATTATTGACATTGATACAATCAAGATACAGAATAATGTCATCACCACAAAGGTTCCTTAGTTTGCCCTCTCATAGTCACACTCACTTTACTCCTTTCCATTGCTCCTCATCTCCCATCTCTGACACCTAGAAATTATTAATCTGTTTCTATTTGTAAATGTTGTCGTTTCAGTAAGATTATCTGAATGGAATCATATGGTATGTAACCATTTGGGATTTTCAATCAGCATAATTCCTTGAGGATTCATCCATGTAGTATAAATATTTTGTTCATATTTATTGCTGAGTAGTATTCTATTACATGAATATTGCGCAGTTTGTTTATTAATTCACCCTTTGAAAGGCATTTCAGTCAGGTTTTGGTTATTACAAGTAAGCTGCTATGAAGATTAATGTATAGCTTTTTGTGTGAATGTAAGTTGTCAGTTCTCTGGGATATATGCAGGTTTTTGTTTTGTTTTGTTTTGCTTTGTTTTGTTTAAAGACATGGTCTCACTCTGTCACCCAGACTAGAGTGCAGTGCCATGATCATAGCTCACTGTAACCTTGAATTCCTGGGCTCAAGCCATCTGCCTGCCTCAGCCTCTGATCTGGAGTAGCTAGAACTACAGGTATATACCACCACCCCTGGCTAATTTTTAAAAAACTATTTTTTGTAGAGATGAGATCTTGCTATGTTGGCCAAGCTGGTCTCAAACTCATGGCCTCAAGTAATTCTCCCACCCCCGCCTCCCAAAGACTTGGAAGTACAGGCATGAGCCACTCTACCCTGACAGGTTTGTAATTTTTTAATTTTTTTCTTGAACTTTTAAGTCAGGAGTACATGTACAGGACATGCATGTTTGTTACCTAAGTAAACAAGTGCCATGGTGGTTTGCTGCTCAGATTATCCCATCACCTAGGTATTACACCCAGCACCCATTAGCTATTCTTCCTGATGCTCTCCTTCCCTCCACTCCAACCTCTGACAGGCCCCAGTGTATGTTGTTTTCCCCCATGTGTCCATGTGTTCTCATCATTCAGCTCCCACTTATAAGTGAGAACATGCAGTATTTGGTATTCTGCTTCTGTGTTAGTTTGCTGAGGATAATGGCTTCCAGCTCCATCCATGTCCCTACACAGGACCTGATCTCATTCCTTTTTCTAGCTGCATAGTATTCCATATTGTATATATGTTCCACATTTTCTTTATTCAATCTATAATTGATGGGCATTTAGGTTGATTCCATGCCTTTTCTATTATAAATAGTGCTTCAAAAAGTTGTTGAGATACTTGAAGAACTGGTAGTCAGTTGGCAAGAGCTCAGGTGAATATGACGGAAGAGGTAAAAATTTGTAGCCCAATTCATTCAACTTTTGAAGCATTGTTTGTGCAATGTGCAGTCGGGCATCGTCGTGGAGAAGAATTGGGCCCTTCCTATTGACCAATACTGGCTGCAGGCATTGCAGTTTTTAGTGCATCTCATCAATTTGCTGAGCATACTTCTCAAATGTAATGGTTTTACTGGGATTCAGAAAGCTGTAGTAGATCAGACCAGCAGTAAACCACCATATAGTGACCATGAACTTTTTTTGGTATAAGTTTGGCTTTGGGAAGTGCTGTGGCACTTCTTCTCAGTCCAACCACTGAGCTGGTCATCACCGGTTGTTGAATAAAATCCACTTTTCATCACACATCACAAGTTGATTGAGAATGATTCCTTGTAGCATAGAATAAGAGAAGATGATGCTTCAAAATGATATTTTTTATTTTCACTCAGCTCCTGAGGCATCCACTTATCAAGCTTTTTCACCTGCTTTTTCACCTGCTTCAAATGCCAAATGAGTTCTTCAGCAACTTCTCATGTAGTTGTAAGAGGATCACCTTCAATGATTGCTCTCAATTGGTCGTTGTCAACTTCTGATTGCCGGCCACTATGCTTCTCATCTTCAAAGCTCTCGTCTCCTTTGCAAAACTTCTTGAACCACCACTTCACTGTACACTCATTAGTCATTCCTGGGCCGAAGGTGCTGTTGATGTTGCAAATTGTCTCTAATGCTTTACAACCCATTTTGAACTCGAATAAGAAAATCGCTCAAATTTTCTTTTTGTCTAACATCATTTCCATACTCTAAGATAAATATAAAATAAACAGCAAGTAAGAAGTCATTTGCAAAAAAACATGGATAAAGCAAGAAAAATGCATTAAAATGATATATAACATAACCACATTTACTTAGGAATGTATTCCAATATCAAATGCAAATTTCAACAATGCAAAAACCTCAATTACGTTTCCACCATCTCAGCCTCAGCCCAGTTCTGTGCCCTTGCTGGAGAGGTGTTGAGGTCATTTGGAGGAGAAGAGGCACTCTGGCTTTTTGAGTTTTTAGTGTTTTGGCATCGATTATTTCTCATCCTTGTGGGTTTATCTACCTTTGATTTTTGAGAGTGTTGACCTTTGAATCAGGATTTTCTGGAGTCTCAAATGTTGAATAGGAGTGGTGAGTGAGGGCCTCCTTGTCTTGAGCCACTTTTCAAGGGGAATGCTTTCAAGATTCGCCCATTTAGTATGATGTTGGCTGTGGGTTTGTCATATATGGCTTTTATTATTTAGAGGTATGTTCCTTCAATATCTAGTTTAGTAAGAGTTTTTAACATGAAGCAATGTTGAATTTTATTGAAGCCCTTTTCTGCATCAATTGAGATAATCATGTGGTTTTTGCCTTTAGTTCTGTTTACATGATAAATAACATTGATTAATTTGCATATGTTGAACCAACCTTACATCCCAGGGATGAAGCCAACTTGATCGTGTTGGATAAGCTTCATGATGTGCTGCTAGATTTGGTTTGCCAGTATTTTATTGAGGATTTTTGCATCAACATTCATTAAGGATATTGGCCTGAAATTTTCTTTTTTTGTTGCTGTTTTTGTTTTTAATTTTTTAATTTTTGTGGGTAAATAATAGGTGTATATATTTATGGGGTACATGAGATGCTTTGATACAGGCATGGAATGCATAATCACATCACATAAAACAGGGGTATCCATCATGTCATTTATCCCTTGTGTTACAAACAATCCAATTATACTCTTTTAGTTACTTTAAAATGTACAGTTAAATTATTGTTGACTACACTCACCCTGTTGTGCTAGCAAATACTAGGTTTTACTCATCCTTTCTGTTTTTTTAACTTCTTTTTTTAATTAATTATTATTTTTTTAATTCTACTTTAAGTTCTAGGGTACATGTGCACAACATGCAGATTTGTTACATATGTATACATGTGCCATGTTGGTGTGCTGCACTCATTAACTCATTATTTACATTAGGTATTTCTCTTGATGCTATCCTTCCCCTCTCCCCCCACCCCACACAGGCTCTGTGATGTTCCCCACCCTGTGTCTAAGTGTTCTCATTGTTCAATTCCCACCTATGAGTGAGAACATGCGGTGTTTGGTTTTCTGTCCTTGCGATAGTTTGCTGAGAATGATGGTTTCCAGCCTCATCCATGTCCCTACAAAGGACATGAGCTCATCCTTTTTCATGGCCACATAGTATTCCATGGTGTATAGGTGTCACATTTTCTTAATCCAGTCTATCATTGATGGACTTTTGGGCTGGTTCCAAGTCTTTGCTATTGTGAATAGTGCCACAATAAATATGCATGTGCATGTGTGTCTTTACAGTAGCATGATTTATAATTCTTTGGGTATATACCCTGTAATGGAATTGCTGGGTCAGTTGGTATTTCTAGTTCTAGATCCTTGAGGAATCTCCACACTGTCTTCCAAAATGGTTGAACTAGTTTACGCTCCCACCAACAGAGTAAAAGTGTTCCTATTTCCACACATCCTCTCCAGCACCTGTTGTTTTCTGACTTTTTAATGATTGCCATTCTAACTGGTGTGAGATGGTATCTCATTGTGGTTTTGATTTGCATTTCTCTGATGACCAGTGATGATGAGCATTTTTTCATATGTCTGTTGGCTGTACAAATGTCTTCTTTTGAGAAGTGTCTGTTCATATCCTTTGCCCACTTTTTGATGGGGTTGTTTGATTTTTTCTTGTAAATTTGTTTAAGTTCTTTGTAGATTCTGGATATTAACCCTTCGTCAGATAGGTATATTGCAAAAATTTTGTCCCATTCTGTAGGTTGCCTGTCCACTCTGATGGTAGTTTCTTTTGCTGTGCAGAAGTTCTTTAGTTTAATTAGATCCCATTTGTCTATTTTGGCTTTTGTTGCCATTGCTTTTGGTGTTTTAGTCACGAAGTACTTGCCCATACCTATGTCCTGAATGGTATTGCCTAGGTTTTCTTCCAGGGTTTTTATGGTTTTAGGTCTAACATTTAAGTCTTTAATCCATCTTGAATTAATTTTTGTATAAAGTGTAAGGAAGGGACATAGTTTCAGCTTTCTACATATGGCTAGCCAGTTTTCCCAGCGACATTTATTAAACAGGGAATCCTTTCCCCATTTCTTCTTTTTGTCAGGTTTGTCAAAGATCAGATGGTTGTAGATGTGTGGTGTTATTTCTGAGGCCTCTGTTCTGTTGCATTGATCTATATCTCTGTTTTGGTATCAGTACAATGCTGTTTTGGTTACTGTAGGCTTGCAGTATAATTTGAAGTCAGGTAGTGTGATGCCTCCAGCTTTGTTATTTTTGCTTAGGATTGTCTTGGCTATGTAGGCTCTTTTCTGGTTCCATACGAACTTTAAAGTAGTTTTTTCCAATTCTGTGAAGAAAGTCATTGGTAGCTTGATGGGGATGGCATTGAATCTATACACTACCTTGGGCACTATGGCCATTTTCACCATATTGATTCTTCCCATCCATGAGCATGGAATGTTCTTCCATTTGTTTGTGTCCTCTTTTATTTCGTTGAGCAGTGGTTTGTAGTTCTCCTTGAAGAAGTTCTTCACATCCCTTGTAAGTTGGATTCCTAGGTATTTTATTCTCTTTGAAGCAATTGTGAATGGGAGTTCACTCATGATTTGGCTCTTTGTCTGTTAATGGTGTATAAGAATGCTTGTGATTTTTCCACATTGATTTTGTATCCTGAGACTTTGTTGAAGTTGCTTATCAGCTTAAGGAGATTTTGGGCTGAGATGATGGGATTTTCTAAATATGCAATCATGTCATCTGCAAACAGGGACAATTTGACTTCCTGTTTTCCTCATTGGATACCCTTTATTTCTTTCTCCTACCTGATTGCCCTGGCCAGAACTTCCAATACTATGTTGAATGGGAGTGGTGAGAGAGGGCGGCCCTGTCTTGTGCCGGTTTTCAAAGGAATGCTTCCAGTTTTTGCCCATTCAGTATGATATTGGCTGTGGGTTTGTCATGAATATCTCTTATTATTTTGAGATACATCCCATCAGCACCTAGATTATTGAGAGTTTTTAGCATGAAAGCTGTTGAATTTTGTTGAAGGCCTTTTCTGCATCTATTGAGATAATCATGTGGTTTTTCCCTTTGGTTCTGTTTATATGATGGATTACATTTATTGATCTGAGTATGTTGAACCAGCCTTGCATCCCAGGGATGAAGCCAACTTGATCGTGGTGGATAAGCTTTTTGATGTGCTGCTGGATTCGGTTTGCCAGTATTATATTGAGGATTTTTGCGTCAATGTTCATCAGGGATATTGGTCTAAAATTCTATTTTTTTTTGACGTGTTTCTGCTAGGCTTTGGTATCAGGATGATGCTTGCCTCATAAAATGAGTTAGGGAGGATTCCCTCTCTTTCTATTGATTGGAATACTTTCAGAAGGAATGGTACTAGCTCCTCTTTGTACCTCTGGTAGAATTTGGCTGTGAATCTGTCTGGTCCTGGACTTTTTTTGGTTGGTAGGCTATTAATTGTTGCCTCAATTTCAGAACCTGTTATTGGTCTATTCAGGGATTCAACTTCTTCCTGGTTTAGTCTTGGGTGGGTGTATGTGTCCAGGAATGTATCCATTTCTTCTAGATTTTCTAGTTTATTTGCATATAAGTATTTATAGTATTATCTCATGGTAGTTTGTATTTCTTTGGGATCAGTGGTGATATCCTCTTTATGTACCCATTTCTTCTAGGTTTTCTAGCTTGTGTGCATAGTGCTGTTTATAATAGAGTCTGAGGGTGTTTTGTATTTCTGTGGGTTCAGTGGCAATGTCCCCTTTGTTGTTTCTGATTGCATTTAATTGCATCTTCTTTTCTTTATTATTCTAGCTAGTGGTCTATCTTATTAATTCTTTCATAGAACAGCTCCTGTATTCACTGTTCTTTTGTACGGGGGTGTGTGTGTGTGTGTGTGTGTGTCTTAATTTCCTTCAGTTCAGCTCTGATTTTGGTTATTTCTTGTCTTCTGCTAGCTTTCAGGTTAATTTCCCTTGTTTCTCTAGTTCCTCTAGTTGTGATGTTGGTTTGTTAAATCGAGATCTTTCTAAAGTTTTGATGTGGATACTTAGTAGTGTAAACTTCCCTCTTAACATGCTTTGGCTGTTTCCCAGAGCTTCTGGTATGTTTATCCTTTTTCTCTCATTCATTTCAAAGAATTTCTTGAATCCTGCCTTAATTTCATTATTTACCTAGAAGTCATTCAGAAGCATGTTGTTTGATTCCCACTTAATTGTATGGTTTTGAGTGATTTTCTTAGCATTGATTTTTATTTTTTTGGCACTGTAGTCCAAAGAATATGGTAAGTATGATTTTTTTGTTGTTTTTTTAATTTGCAGAGGATGGTTTTATGCCAAATTACGTAGTCAATTTTATAGTGTGTGTCATCTGCAGATGAGAAGAATGTATATTCTGTTGTTTGGGGGTGGAGAGTTCTGTACATGTCTATTAGTTGCATTTGGTCAAGTGTTGAATTTGGGTCCAAACATCTTTGTTAGTTTTCTGCCTCGATGATTTATCTAATACTGTCAGTGGGGTGTTAAAATCTTTCACTATTATTGTGGGATGTCTTAATCTTTTTGAGGGTCTCTAAAAATTCGCTTTATGAATCTGGATGCTCCTGTGTGGGGTGCATATATAGTTAGGATAGGTAGGTCTTCTTGTTGAATCAAGCCCTTTACCATTACATAATGCTCTTGTCTTTTTTTTAATCTCTGTTATTTTAAAGTCTGTTTCTTCTGAAATTAGAACAGCAACCCCTGCTTTTCTCTGTTTTCCATTTGCTTGGTCGATTTTTCTTCATCCCTCTACTTTGAGCCTATGGGTGTTATTTCATGTACAATGGGCCTCTCGAAGACAGCGTACCACTGGGTTTTGCATCTTTATCCAACTTGCCAACTCTGTGTCTATTAATTGGGGCATTTGGCCTGTTTGCATTCAAGGTTAGTATTGATATGTGTGGATTCGATCCTGTCATCATATTGTTAGCTGGTTATTATGCAGACTTCTTTGTGTTGTTGCTTTATAGTGTCACTGGTCTATGTATTTAAGTGTGCTTATGTAGTGATTGATAATGGTCTTTTCTTTGCATATTTAGCACTCCCTTCAGGACCTCTTATAAGGCAGGTGTGTTAAATTCCCTTTGTATTTGCTTATCTGAAAAGGATTTTATTACTCCTTTACTTATGAAGCTTAGTTTGGCTGGATATGACATTCTTGGTTGAAAATAGGCTCCCAATCTCTTCTGGCTTGTAGGGTTTCTGCTTACAGGTCTACTGTTAGTGTTATGGGGTTCCCTTTGTATGTGATCTTCCCCTTTTCTCTGGCTGCCTTTAACATTCTTTCTTTCATTTTGACCTTGGAGAATCCGATGACTGTGTGTCTTGGGGTTGGCCTTCTTATGTAGTATTTCACAGGTTTTCTCTGCATTTCCTTAATTTTAGTGTTATATAGTGTTCTTAAATGTATGATTTTTTTCTCAGTTTCAAACCAAATTAAAAACTTATTGGTGAACCTTGTTTAAACTAGGGTGGTGCTTGGCCAGTACAGGAAAACACTGCCCCCAATGCCGGTCTAGAAAACACTGAATAATCAGCACTAACCATCTACCCATGGAGAAGGTTTGTCCTAATTGAGCAAAACACTAGTCACTGGGTTCCACAGCTCTCTTCCACGACCCATGGCTTCTAATAGAGCTATAACACTCACTGTATGGCCCAAGATTTCATTCCTTGGAATCCATGAGGCCAAGAACCCCAGGTCAGAGAACAAGAGGCTTGCCGCCATCTTGGAAGCGGCCCACCACCATCTTGGGAGCTCTAAGAACAAGGACCACCCGGTAACATTTTGGCGACCATGAAGGGACCTCCAAAGCAGTGAGTAATATTGGACCACTTTTGCTTGCTATTCTGTCCTATCCTTCCTTAGAATTGGAGGAAAACACTGGGCACCCATCAGCCAGTTAAAAATGATTAGCATAGCCGCCAGACTTAAGACTCAGGTGTGAGGCTATCTGGGAAAGGGCTTTCTAGCAATCCCCAACCCTTCTGGGTTGGGAGTGTTGGTCTGCCTAGAACCAGCTTCCACTTTCAATTTTCCTGGGGAAGCCAAGGGCCGACTAGAGGCAGAAAGGTGTCATCCCAAACTCCTGGCATTAGCTGGTTGAGATCATGGTGCAGCCAGAAGTCTCTACTCAACAGTTGCCCATGCGTGCACCCCTAACTTTCTGTCTGACCCTTACCTCCTGGGTTCCGACCATGACTTTCTTGAAAATGTAGCCCCAAAATTCTACTTACCTCTGAGTCTACTTCCTCTGATCCCTGCCTCCTAGGTACCAATGGTTCAGACTTTCATTTCCTCTCCCAAGTATTAGAGCAAGTTGTATTTCCAAAGTGATCTAAGGAAGCTCTACACTGTGTCCTTAGGCATCTAGGCTATGAACCCAGAGAGTCCTGTCCCTGGTGTCCCTCTCAATTTAGGCATACAGCCCTCAATATGGGCAGTTATGTGGGACCCATTCCCCACCACCCTTGCCAGGGCCCCAAGTTTGCAAATGGCTAGGAGGATTGCTCTCCCATTTGTAAGATGCTCTCCTCCCCTGATTTCTACCCAGCTTACCCCTCTGCAATACAATCTCCAAGCCTTGGCTCCTTGGCCAGGGCCTTAGAACTGATAACCCAGTACTTTAACAACTGGAACTGGGTCTATGAAAACGTAAGAGATTAGGATGAAAGCAAATTGAGTAAGTCAAGGAGGGAAGATACAGAGAGAGAGAGACAGAGAGAGAGAGAGAAAAGAGAGAAAAGAGAGGGAGAGAGAGAAAAAGAGAGATAGAAGTAGTAAAGAAAAAACAGTGTGCCTTATTCCTTTAAAAGCCAGGGTAAATTTAAAACCTATAATTCATCATGGAAAGTCTTCTCTATGACCCTATAACACTCCAATACTACCTTGTTGTCAGTGTAAACAAGGGCATAGCCTGAAAACACTGAGACCACTGACAACCAGTAGCCTTCCTATCAAAAATCCTTAACCCAGGAACCCACGGATGGCCCAAATGCATTCAATCTGTAGCGGCAACTGCTTTGCTAACAGAAGAAAGTAGAAAAATAACTTTTAGAGGAAACCTCACTGTGAGCACATCTCACCAATTCAGAATTATTCTAAGTCAAAAAAGAAAAAGGTAGCTTACTAACTCAAAAATCTTAAAGTATGGGGCTATTCTGTTAGAAAAAGGTGATTTAACATTAACCACTGAAAATTCCCTTAACCCAGCAGATTTCCTAACAGGGGATTTAAATCTTAATTACCATACAAAGGTCCGACCAGACCTAGAAGGAACTCCCTTCAGAACAGAAGGGTAGATGGCTCCTCTCAGGTGATTGAGTAAAAAACACAATGGGTGTTCAGTAATTGATAGGGAGACTCTTTTGGAAGCAGTTAGGAGAATTGCCTAATAATTGGTCTGCTCAAACGTGCGTGCAAGCTGTTTGCACTCAGCCAAGCCTTAAAGTACTTACAGAATCAAAAAGACTTTATCCCAATCCTGACTCAAAAGGTTACCTATACCTTCTCTGAAATGAATTTGCATAAGAACAGTTGTTTATGGGAGTGCATCTTGATGGGGCGTCTGGGTTGTTATGAAATACTCAGGAACCTAGCCCAGCTCTAGAACTCATCTCTGAGCACAAAGGCAACGTTGGGCAGGCTAGTAAAGGACCACTAGAATCCAGCAGCCCAGACCCCTTTCTTTGTGGTCAAGAAAGGTGGGAAAACAGGTGCAGGACTGCTACATCAGTGAGCATAACTAATCCGATAAGCAGAGGTCCATGGGTGTTTACGCACCCTGGAAAAGAATAAGCATTAGGACCTTAGAGGACACTCTACGACTAATGCTTATTGGAAAATGACTAGGGGTACTGGCATCCCCTGTTTTTTTTCAGATGGGAAACGTTCCCCCCCAAGGCAAAAACACCCCTAAGATGTATTCTGGAGAATTCGGCCCAGCCAGAGTGTACGTACCTTTTTTCCTGTCAGACTTGAAGCAAATTAAAATAGACCTAGGTAAATTCTCAGATAACCCTGATGGCTATATTGATGTTTCACAAGGGTTAAGACAGTCCTTTGATCTGACATGGAGAGATATAATGTTACTGCTAGATCAGACACTAACCCCAAATGAAAGAAGTGCTGCCATAACTGCAGCCAGAGAGTTTGGCGATCTCTGTTATCTCAGTCAGGTCAATGATAGGATGACAACAGAGGAAAGAGAACAACTCCCCACAGGCCAGCAGGCAGTTCCCAGTGTAGACCATCATTGGGACACAGAATCAGAACAAGGAGATTGGTGCTGCAGACATTTACTAACTTGCGTGGTAGAAGGACTAAGGAAAACTAGGAAGAAGCCTATAAATTATTCAATGATGTCCCCTATAACATAGGGAAAGGAAGAAAATCCTACTGCCTTTCTGGAGAGACTAAGGGAGGCATTGAGGAAGTATACCTCTCTCTCACCTGACTCTATTGAAGGCCAACTAATCTTAAAGGATAAGTTTATCACTCAGTCAGCTGCAGACATTAAAAAAAAAAACTTCAAAAGTCCACCTTAGGTCCAGAGCAAAACTTAGAAACCCTATTGAACTTGGCAACCTTGGTTTTTTATAATAGAGATCAGGAGGAACAGGCAGAATGGGACAAACGACATAAGAAAAAGGCCACTGCTTGAGTCATGGCCCTCAGGCAAGTGGACTTTGGTGGCTCTGGAACACGGAAAGCCTGGGCAAATTGAATGCCTAATAGGGATTGCTTCCAGTGCAGTCTACAAAGACACTTTAAAAAAGATTGTCCAAATAGAAATAAGCCTCCCCCTGTCCATGCCCCTTATGTCAAGGGAATCACTGGAAGGCCCACTGCCCCAGGGGACGAAGGTCCTCTGAGTCAGAAGCCACTAACCAGATGATTCAGCAGCAGGACTGAGGGTGCCCGGGGCAAGTGCCAGCCCATGCCATCACCCTCACAGAGCCCTGGGTATGCTTGAGCGTTGGGGGCCAGAAGGTTAACTGTCTCCTGGACACTGGCACGGCCTTCTCGGTCTTATTCTCCTGTCCTGGACAACTGTCCTCCAGATCTGTCACTATCTGAGGGGTCCTAGGACACGCAGTCACTAGATACTTCTCCCAGCCACAAAGTTGTGACTGAGGAACTTTACTCTTTTCACATGCCTTTCTAATTATACCTGAAAACCCCACTCCTCTGTTAGGGAGAGACATCCTAGGAAAAGCAGGGGCCATTATACACTAGAATTAGGAGAAGGAAAAAGGGTAAATATATATACAGACTCTAAGCATGCTTACCTAGTCCTCCATGCCCACACAGCAATATGGAGAGAAAAGGAATTCCTAACTTCCGAGGGAACACCTATCAAACATCAGGAAGCCATCAGGAGATTATTATTGGCTGTACATGCCACCTAAAGAGGTGGCAGTCTTACACTGCCGGGGTCAGGAGAAAGGAAAGGAAAGAATAGAAGGGAACCGCCAAGCAGATATTGAAGCCAAAAGAGCCACAAGGTGGGACCCTCCATTAGAAATGTTTATAGAAGGACCCCTAATATGGGGTAATCCCCTCTGGGAAACCAAGCCCCAGTACTCAACAGGATAAATTGAATGGGGAGCCTCAAGAAGACACAGTTTCCTCCCCTCGGGATGGCTAGCCACTGAAGAAGGAAAAATACTTTTGCCTGCAGCTAATCAATGGAAATTACTTAAAACCCTTCACCAAACCTTTCACTTAGGCATTGATAGCACCCATCAGATGGCCAAATTATTATTTACTGGACCAGGTCTTTTCAAAACTGTCAAGCAGATAGTCAGGGCCTGTGAAGTGTGCCAAAGAAATAATTCCCTGCACTGCAGGCCATTTCAATCCCTGTATCTTTAACCTCCTTGCTAAGTTTGTCTCTTCCAGAATCAAAGCTGTGAACTATAAATCATTCTTCAAATGGAGCCGCAGATGCAGTCCATGACTAAGATCTACCATGGTCCCCTGGACCGGCCTGCTATTCCATACTCCGATGTTGATGACATCGAAGGCACCCCTCCCGAGGAAATCTCAACTGCACAACCCCTACTATGCCCCAATTCAGCAGGAAGCAGTTAGAGCAGTCGTCAGCCAACCTCCCCAACAGCACTTGGGTTTTCCTGTTGAGCGGGGGGACTGCAAGACAGGATTAGCTGGATTTCCTAGGTTGACTAAGAATCCCTAAGCCTAGCTGGGAAGGTAACCACATCCACCTTTAAACACAGGGCTTGCAACTTAGCTCACACCTGACCAATCAGGTAGTAAAGAGAGCTCACTAAAATGTTAATTAGGAACCTGCACATTGTGCACATGTACCCTAGAACTTAAAGTATAATAAAAAAAATTTTTTTAAATGCTAATTAGGCAAAAACAGGAGGTAAAGAAATAGCCAATCATCTATCGCTTGAGAGCACAGGGGGATATAATGCTTGAGTGCACAATGATTGGGATATAAACCCAGGCATTCAAGCCAGCAACAGCAACCCCTTTAGGGTCCCCTCCCATTTTATGGGAGCTCTGTTTTCACTCTATTAAATCTTGCAACTGCAAAAAAAAAAATTTAATGGAAGTGCTAGAAATAAAACACATGATAAAAGAGATGAACAATTGTTTTGACAGACTTTTTAACAGACTGGACAGTTTTAAGAAAAGAATCACTGAACTTGAAGACAGGTCAAAAGAAGTTACACTGAAACACAAAGAAAGAAAAAAGGTTTAAAAAAAGGTAGAGAGGCAAAATAGAGCATCTAAAGCTGTGGAATAATACCAAATGTGTTAATATATGTGTAACTGGAATCCTAGAGAGGGAAAACATAGAGGATGGGGGCGTATATCTGAAGAGACAGTGGTCAAGAATTTTGAAGAAATATTAAAAGACACTAAACCTCACCTCCAATAAGCTCAGAGAACCAGAATCAAAACAAATACCAATACTCAGAATAATATTTATTTTTTATTTTTTATTAAGGATATATATGTATACATACATATAATTTACTATCTTTACCATTTCTACGGGTACAGTTTAGTGGTAATAAATACATTCATATTCTTTTATTTCCTTTTATCCTTGTCTACTCCCTTCCCTTCCCAGCCTCTGGTAACCATCAGTCTACTCTCTATCTTCATGAGTTCTACTTTTTTAGCTCCCACATATAAATGAGATCATGCGATATTTGTTTTTCTTTGTTTGGCTTATTTCACTTAACATAATGACCTCCCATTTCCATCCATGTTACTACAGATGACAGGATTTCATTCTTTTTTATGGTTGAATAATATTCCATTGGGTATATGTAGCACATTTTCTTGATTCACTCATTCATTGATGGACACTGCTTGAATCTGTATTTTGGATATTGTGAATAGTGCTTCAATAAAGATGGGAGTGCAGCTATCTCTTTGATACATTGATTTCCTATCTTTCAGATAAGACCCCAGTACTGGAATTGCTGGATTATATGATAGCTCTAATTTTAGTTTTTTAAGGAACTTCCAAACTGTTCTCCACAGTGTCTGTACCAATTTACATTCCCACCAACAATGTATGAGGGTTCCCCTTTCCCCTTTCTCCATATCCTTGCTAGCATGTGTTATTGTTATTGCCACTTTTTGATACAAGCCATTTTAACTGGGATGACTTAACGTCACATTGTGGTTTTGATTTGATTTGCATTTCTCTGATGATAGGTGATGTTAAGCATTTTTTATATACCTGTTGGCCATTTGTATATCTTCTTTTGAGAAATGTCTATTCAGATCTTTTTCCCTTCTTTAATTGGATTATTAGATTTTTTTCCTACAGAGTTGTTTGAGTTCCTTATATATTCTTGTTATTAATCCCTTGGCAGATGGATAGTTGCAAATATTTTCTCTCATTTTGTGGATTGTTTCTTCACTTTGTTGATTGCTCCCTTTGCTTTTTAGAAGTATTTTAGCTTTATTTACTAAATAAATCCCAATTGTCTCTTTTACTTCAGTTGCCTGTACTTTTGAGGTGTTATGCCAAAAAAATCTTTGCCCAGACCAACGTCCTAGAACATTTCTCCATTATTTTCTTCTAGTAGTTTCATAGTTTCAGATCTTATATTTAAGTCTTCAATACATTTTGATTTAAATTTTGTGTATGCTGAAAGATAGAGGTGTAGATTTTTTCTTTTTCATGTAATTTTCGTAACACAATTTATTGAAAAGGATTTTCTTTTCCCATTGTATGTTCTTGGTACTCCTTTCAAAGATGAGTTAATTGTAAATGAATGCATTTATATCTGGATACTGTATTCTGTTCCATTGGTCTAGGAGTCTATTTTTATGCCAATTCTATGATGTTACTGTATCTTTGTGGCAAAGTTTGAAGTCAAGTAGTGTAAGGCTTCTAGCTTTGCTGTTTTTGCTCAGGACTGCTTTGCCTGTTCAGGAACTTTTGTTATTCCATATAAATTTTAGGATTTTTTTTCTATTTCTGTGAAGAATGTCATTTTTTTATACAGATTGCATTGAATCTGTGTATTTCCTTGGGTAGTATTATCATTTTACACTATTATTTCTTCCAATCCAAGAGCATTGAGTAGCTTTCCATTTTTGTGTCTTTTTCTATTTCTTTCATCAGAGTTTTACAGTTGTTCTTATATAGATCTTTCACTTATTTGGCTAGACTGATTCCTAGGTATTTTATATTTTTATAGCTGTCATAAATGAGGTTGCATTCTTTATGTTTTTCAGATTATTCACAGTTGGCATATAAATGCACTGATTTCTGTACATTGATTTTGTATCCTGCAACTTTACTGAATTATGAACAACTATATGCCAACAAAACAAGGCTAATGTGACTCCTTTTAATAAAAGATGCCCTTTATTTCTTTCTCTTGTCTAATTGCTCTGGCAAGGACTTCCACTATTATGTTGAATAATAGCAGTGAAAGTGGACATCCTTGTCTTGTTCCAGTCTTTAGAGGAAAGGTCTTCACATTTTCCCCATGAGTATGATGTTAGCTGTGGGTTTGTCATATGTGGCCTTTTCTAAAACTATGTCCCTCCTCTACCCATGTTGATGAGGGTTTTTATCATAAAGGGGTGCCGAATTTTATCAAATGCTTTTGCAGGTTCTATTGAAATAATCATATGGTTTTTGTTCTGGATTCTGTAATATGAAGTATTATATTTACTGATTTGCATATGTTGAACTAACCTTGTATCTCTGGAACAAATCCTATTTGATCACGGTAAATGATCTTTTTAATATGTTGTTGCATTAAGTTTGCTAGCATTTGGTTGAGGATTTTTGCATCTATGTTCATCAGGGATATTGGCCTCTATTTTTCTTTTTTTATTGTATCTTTATCTGGTTTCAGTATCAGGATAACTCCAGCCTCAGAAATGAGTTTGCAAGTATTTCCTTCTTTTCCATTTTTTTGAAAAGTTTGAATAGAACTGGTATTAGTTCTTCTTTAAATGTTTGGTAAAATTAAGCAGTGAAGCCATCTGGTCCTGGGCTTTTCTTTGATGAGAGATTTTTTACTATGGCTTAGATCTCATTACTTGTAATTTGTTTATTGAGGTTTTCTATTTCATCATTCTTCAATCATGGTAAGTTGTATATGTCCAGGAATTTATCCATTTCCTCTAAGTTTTCCAACTTGTTGGTTTGTAGTGGCTCATAATAGTCTCTAATGACACTTTGTACTTCTGAGGTCTCATTTGTTACCAGGTAGGAGATCAGCAGGGTTTGTCTTCTGAGCACTGGTCATGACCCTGCTGAACAAAACAGGTTGTAGCAAAGAAGCCAGACAAAAACAGGTAGGACTAGGTATTACAATGTATTTTCATAAGACATTCCCACCAGCAACAGTTTATAAATGTCATGGCAACAACCTGGAAGTCAATTTATATGGTTCTAGGAACTCCCTGCCCTTTGTCCAGAAAGTTTGTAAATAACCCACCCCTTAATTAGTATATAATTAGTAGTAGGTGTAAATATAACTAGCCTTCAATCTGAGTGCTACTCTGCCTATGGGATATCCCTAATCTGTTTATGAAGCAGCCATTTTTCTATACACTGTTGCTCAGATAAACTTACTTTGTTTCACCCTCAGCTCACTCTTGAATTCATTCCTGAGTAAAACCAAGAACCCTCCCAAGCTGAGCCCCAGTCTTGGGGTTTGACTGCATCAGTTATATTTTCTTTATTATTTCTGATTTTATTCATTTAAGTCTTCTCTCTTCTCTTCTTAGTCTAGCTAAGGGTTTGTTAATTTTATCTTTTAAAAATACAAATTTTTATTGCATTGATCTATAACTTTTGTCTCAATTGCATTTATATTTGCTCTGATCTTTATTATCTATTTCCTTCTACTAATTTGGGGTTTGGCTTATTCTTCCTTTTCTAGTTCACTGAGATGCATCATTAGGTTGTTTATTTGAAGTCTTTCTACTTTTTTGATGTAAGCATTTATTGCCATAAACTTCCCTGTTAGTACTGCTTTTTCTGTATCCCATAGATTTTGATATGTTGCATTTTCATTTTTATTTATTTCAAGAAATTTTTAAATTTTCTTCTCAATTTCTTTATTAATCCATTGCTCATTCAGGATCCGGTTGTTTGATATCCATTTGTTTGTGTATTTTCAGAGGTTCCCCCTTGTTTTTTGATTTCTAGTTTTATTTCACTGTGGTCAGGAAGGTCACCAGATATGATTTCTGTTTTTAAATTTGTTTAGACTTGTCTTGTGGTCTAAGATACGGTCTATTCTGGAGAATGTTCCATGTGCTGATTAAAAGAATGTGTATTCTACAGCAGTTGGATGAAATGTTCTGTAAATATTAGTTAGGTTTACTAGGTTTAGTATGTAGTTTAATGTTTCTTTGTTGATTTTCTGTCTGGATGATCTGTCCATTAGTAACAGTGGGGTGTTAAAGTCCCCTATCATTATTGTATTCCAGTCTATTTCTCCTTTTAGACCTATTAATGTTTACTTTATATACTAGGAACTCCTTTGTTGGGTGCATAGATATTTACAATTGTTATATCCTCTTGCTGTATTGACCGCTTTATAACTGGATAGTGACTTTTTTGTCTTTTTTTATAGTCTCTGATTTGTAGTCTATTTCATCTACATATAGCTATTTCTTCTCTTTTTTTTTCAAGTTGCATAAAATATTTTTTCCACCCTTTTACTTTCAGCCTATGTGTGTCTTTATAGGTGACTAGGGTTCTTGAAGACAGTATATAATTGGGTCTTGCTTTTTTGTCCATTCAGTCACTCTGTGCCTTTGAATTAGAGAACTGAGGCCATTTATATTAAGTGTTACTATTGATAAGTAAGGTCTTACTACTGCCATTTTGTTGCTTGTTTTCTGGTTGTTTTGGGACATCTCTCTTCCCCCCTTCTTTTCCTACTATCTTCCTTTGTGGTTAAGTGGGAATATCTTTTAGTTTGTTCCTTTTTATTTTTGTGAATCTATTATAGGTTGTTGCATTGCAGTTACCATGAGGCTATTTTAAAAAATCTTACAGCAAGTTATTTTAAAGAGATGACAACTTATCTTAGATCACAAACAAAAGAATAGAAACACAGGCAAAGACAAATACACAAAAAAATTCTACGCTTTAACTCCATCCCCGCCCAACTCCCATATTTTTACTTTTAGTTGTCTCAGTTTACATATTATTATAGTACCTGTCTCTTAACCGGTTGCTGTAGCTATTATTGTTTTTGATAGATTAATCTTTTGAGCTTCATACTATAGTTATGAGGAATTGCATACCACAAAAACAGTGATGGAGTATTCTGAGTGTGTCCATGTACTTTATTTTACCAGTGGGCTTTATACCTTGAAAAGTTTCCTTTCACATGTTAGTGTTTTTATTTTCTTTCAGATTGAAGAACTCCCTTTAGTATTTTTTTATACGAAAGGATTAGTGGTGCTGAATTTTCTCAGCTTCTGTTTGTCTAGGAAAGAGTTTATCTCTCCTTCATATCTGAATTATAATTTTGCTGGATACCATTTCTCACATGGCAGTTATTTTTTTTTTCTTTAAGCACCCTAAAATGTTGTTCCACTCCCTCCTGGCCTGTATGTTTCTATTTAAAAGCCTGTTGCAAGACAAATTGGAACTCCTTTAGGTGTTATTTGCATCTTTTCTTTTGCTGCTTTTAGAATCTTCTCTTTGTCCTTGACATTTGAGAATTTGATTCTTATATGTTTGGGGTAGCCTTATTTTGGGTTGAATCTGTTTAGTGTTCTAAGATCTTCCTATACATTGATATTTATATTTTTAATTTTGGAAAGTTTTCTATTATTTGTTTAAATAAGCTTTCTTCCCCTTGCTCTTGTTCAGATGCCTCTTGAACACCATTAATTCTTAGATTTGGTCTTTTAATGTAATTTTTAAATATCTTGCAGGCAGTCTTTGCTCCTTTTCATTCTTTCTTCTTTTTTCTTCTATGACTGTGTATTTTCTAATAGCAGGTCTTTGAGTTCATTCATTGTTTCTTTTGCTTAGTTCATTTTGCTATTTAGAGCCTCTAAAGAGTTCTTCAGTTCAGCATATGCATTTCTCAGTTCTCAGCTGTGTGTTTTTTTTTTAATTTTAATCTCTTTGTTCAATTTTTCTGATACATTTTTGAATTGCTTTTCTGTGTTATCTTAAAGATCACTAAGTTTCTTTAAAATTGCTATTTTGAACTCTTGTTCAGAGAGCTGACAAATCACCTTCTTGTTAGGGTCAGTCACTGGATTTTTTCTTTGTCCTTTTGGGGAGTTTGTGGTTCCTTGTTTGTTATTGTTTCTTGTGAGTTTTTATTTATGTCTTTGCATTTTAGGATTAGTTATTAATCCCCAAATTCTCTGACTGGCTTGTTTTGGTTTTCATTTAGTATATTTGCTTAGTAAACCTTTACCACTATGTCTCTGCCTCCTGTTCAGCTCTAGATAGTTCCTTAAGCTCACATTTGCCACGGCTCTATTAAATAGTTGGAGCATTGCCTGTTCCAAATAGGGGAGATCCAAAGGGATTATCTGGCAGTGTGGAAAGGCTGACCAGGGGTTCATGTTCAGGGACCTGTGAACCATACCTCCTGCAGCATAGTGCCACTGAACAGCCACTCTGATTTGGTGTCTCCTTTGGCCAAGTTACAAAGCAGAGTCCCCAGGGATGGGGATGGTAGTCCTACCTACCCGCTTTGTCCCTGCCTGTCCTCAGAGATATTTCTCTTTGGGGCACTCATGATGCTTCCTGTGGTTTAAGGCAAAAAAAAAAGTCTCCTGCCAGGGAACCCAAAAAGGTGGAAAAGATCACTGGTTACCTCAATTTCACTTCTTCCAATGAAGAAACTGTGAGTTAGGTGGCGATTTTCTGTGTGTTGGTGCTGAGCAGAATGTGGGGAAGGGTAATGCAAATGTAAAAGTCTTATTATTCTCCTCCCATCTACTCATTTTTCCACTTCTCTATGGCCCTGGGAACTGTCTCATCCTCATATTTGAGCTTTAGGTTGTTGTTGGTAAAAATCTCAGTGTTGTATATTTGTTTTTAGTTTTCTATGATGGGGAGCAAAGCCAACTTATCTCACATCACCATTTTGGAAGCAGAAGACCCTCTATATTTAAACTTCTGAAGACCAAAATTGCAGATGAAATATCAAAGATATACAGAGTAAAAAAATCATTTCATAAAGAGGAACAGACTTCTTGTCAGAAACTGTGAAAGCAAGTTGATGGAGTGACATCTTTAAAGTATGTAAGGAAAATATTGTTAGCCATAATTCTATGTGCAGTAAAAGTATCTTTGAAAAATGAGGGTAAAATAATTTTTCATGCTTTCAAAAGCTGAGACAATTCATTTCTGGCAGGCTTACATTACAAGAAATAGTAAAGGAAGTTCTTCAGGCATAAAGAATGTTATACAAGACATAAACTTGTGACCATCCTTTACAATATCTCTTATAAAAATCTTCAACAATATATTAACAAATCAAATACAGAAATATATTTAAAAGGTAATAGATTATGAACACGTGGTATTATTCCTAAGATAGAAAGGTTGGCTCTACATTTGAAAATCAATTAATGTAATTCACAGATTAAGAGAGTAAAGAGAAAAGCTATATATAATCATTTCAATGAACACAGAAAAAGTTTGGACAGAATTCAAGATCCATTCCTGGGGGAAAAAAACAACACTCTTTGGATCACTCAACATTGTTAAAATATCACTTAACTTCCAATTAATCTACAGATTCATTGCAACCTCAGTCAAAATCTCAACAGGATTTTCAGTAGAATTATTAAGCTTCTAAGCTTATATGGAAAAGCAAAGCAACTAGAATAGCCAAATAAGTCTGAAAAAAAAGAATAAAGTTGAAGGGCTTACACAAGCTGATTCCGAGACATACTAAAAAGATATCACAATAAAGGTGATATGGTATTGGTGAAAAGATAGAAACATAGAATATTGTAACAAAATATAGCCCAGAAATAGATCCACAAATGTGATCAACTGAGACAGACAAAGGCTTAAAGGTAATTCAGTTGAGAAAGGAAAGTCTTCAATAAATAGTGTGGAAAAATTAGATGTCCATATACCAAACATATGGATTTTTTACCTATAATTCACAGCACACACAAAAATTAATTCAAAGTGGATCATAAAGCTAAATTTAAAACCTGAAACTGTAAAACTTCAAGAAGAAAACATAGGAGACAATTTTTTTGACCTTTCTGACCAAGTACTTTTTGACCAAGTCCTTGCATCTGAATCTATAGAGAACTCTTACAACTCAATATTAAAAAGACAAAAACCCCATTAAAATATAGGTGAAATACTTGAACAAACACTTCACAAAAGAAGATAGAAAAATAGCTCATAATCAAAAAAGTTATCAATATCATTAGTCATCAGATAAGCTAAAATTAAAACCACTACATAATGCCATTACACATTTACTAGAATGTCTGAAAATAAAAAGAATAACACCAAAAAAGTTAACAAAAATGTTGACAGTTTTATAAAGTTAAAATACACCTACTTTATGATCCAACAATTCAACGCCAAGGTATTCATCCCCCCCAAAAAATGAAAAGTCCACAAACATACTCATACAAGAAAGTACATAGAAACTTTACTAATAATAACCTAAAACTATAAACAACCCAAATGTCCACTAAGAGGAGAATAGACTCCAAAAATTGTATTCTATATATTCCAACAACTTAGCCAAACTACTACTCAGACAAAAAGTGACTACTACTGATACTATTGACACATGCAAAATTGTGGATTCATCTCATAGACATTATGCTATGTATGCAAAAAAGTATATATTCAGTGCTTCCATTTATATAATGTTCCAAAGCAGGTAAAGTTAATTTACGGTGGAAAAAAAAAGATCAGAAAAATAGTTATCTGGGCAGGAGGGACACTGCATGGGAAGGGACATGGAAATCTTTCTAGCATGATAAAAACATTCTGTATCTTGATACAGGTTTGAGTTACATAAGTGCAAGCATTCATAAAAATTCATCAAATAGTCCTCTTAAGATTTGTGCATTTCATTATATATGAAATTTACCTCAAGGAAATTGGCAAATTTTAATATAATTGTTACATTTGCTTTGCACGGAAGTATGGATTAGAGATTATCAAACTACTCCTTGTGTCTTCTTGGTTTGAGCAAATGTATAAATATATTCAAGACAATTCGAGCCAGTTTTCTCATTGTTAAAGAAATTACAAATATGGAAAAAGAAAAGATGAAAATGTGGTATGCGATGTTACATTAGAACAGTCAGCATGAACATGAAGGATTTTTAAATAGATAGATAAATAGTCAAATAAATATAGATATGTGTGTACTTATTTATATATCTGTGTATTTTTTTTTAGCTTTGTCTCCTGAGGGGGCATAGGACCAATGACACATCAGGGCAATGTGCATACGTAGTACCTAGATCTTTATTTATAAATAGCATTTTCCACCAAAAGGAACTAATGCACTTGGAGAAAAGGCTAATTTCAGGACAGGGGCAGAAAAAATATATATAATGAACACAGAACATCTTCCTGTGGCAGAAGGTAAAGAAGTGCTCACAGAATTATGTAAAAAAGATACAAGAGTCTACCGCAGGTTAAATCTGGGGAAATTTGAGCCTCAAAATAAGTAATTGTGATAAGCAATTATAATCCACTGAGTGAAGTAAAATCCATGTGTCCATGCTGATATGAATACATATATCAACAGTCAATAAATGGGGAGAGGAACACTTCCTTACAATAGAATAGCAACTAATAATTATAGAAGGATAGAATTAGAAAATCATCAATAGTTGCTAAAAATTCATGTGTGAAAGCATTCTAAAGAGCTGAATATTCAAATAGCCTTAAAGAATCTTTCATAATCAATTTATTAATCATAGGGGAAGATAGTAACTTCACAGTGGAGGAATGTTATGGGCACCATCACAACCAAGTGATCAAAATTAAATTGTCAAATGTTGGGATAAGCATACTGATATTGCTGCAACATCACTTCCGTGCTAATCCTGCAAAAATAAAAATACCAAAGTAATATGTAATAATGAGAAAACATCAGGCAAACTCAAGTTGAGAGACTATAAAATAACTAACCTGCACTCTTCAAAAATGTCAAGGTCAGAAAACACAAAGAAAGCCTGAGATATTGTTCCAGTTAAATGACCAGAGAGCCAGGACCAAAAAATGCGATGCACGATCCAGGACTGGATTTTGAGCCAGGACAGATGGAGGAAGAAGAGGAATACCTATAAAGCGTTGGTCCTCAACCTTTTTGGCACCAGGGACCTATTTCATGGAAGACAATTTTTTGGGAGTGGCTGGTGGTGGGGCTAGTTAAATTCTCATAAGGTGCACACAACCTGGATCCCTCGCATGTGCAGTTCACAATAGGGTTCTTGCTCCTGTGAGAATCTAATGCGGCAGCTGATCTGACAGGAGGCAGAGCTCAGGCGGTGATGCTCTCTGGCCTGCGGCTCACCTCCTGCTGTGTGGCCCGGTTCCTAACAGGTCAGGACCCGTACCAGTCCACAGCCTGTGGATTGAGAACCCTTGATATAAAGGACATATTGGAAACAATTGACAAAATTCAAATATTGACTGCTGATTGCATCATCATAATCCATAAATGTTAAATTTCCTTATTTGTAATTATACTGATTATGAAAGAGAATGTATTTGTTCCTAGGAAATACACACTGAAGTATTAAAGGACAGAGAGGTGTGATGTTTTCATATTTCTCTAAAATGGTTCAGGAAAAATTAATATTCATAAATAATATGTCCAGATTCAAACCCAAAGGCAAGCTTATTAATTTATCTCAAAACTGAGTTAATGTGTTTAGTTGTTAACAACTTATTCTTTTCTGAAGATACAAGTGGCATGCCTACTTACATCGCAATTTTGAGAAACAGATACAACTTGTTTTGTGTCAGCTATAACCCTAATTCTGGCATCACACTTGTTTCTCTAGTAACACATACCACAAC